>NC_000005.10:164549202-164852233 GCF_000001405.40 Homo sapiens | reverse complement strand
AAAATGAATGAGAAATTTGATTCATTCAAAGGACAATTGGGATCTAGTATTCATTAATTTGGAGTCAGAATGACAAGTAGTTAAATCTGACACACTTTTCATGTTTGTGAAGAAATTTTGATGTCTTCCAGCCAAAAGAGAGTAACATGGACTGGATTTACTCTCTACTGAAAACAAAACAAAAACACTAGACAAAATATATTTAGAAATTGTTCTGAAGATAATGGACAGCAGGCAACAGAGGACTGGGATCCCTAAGGAAAAGAAAGCAAATGTAAGTCCAAGATCTGTGCAGGCTCACTACGCAGAGTTCTCAGTACGTGACACAGAGAGGGGCAATGCAACTGAAACATGGAAGTCTCCCTAAGTCCAAGAGATGGAGCAGATAATTCTGGGAGACCAAGCAGCTAGAGTTCATAAGGCAGAATATGGGAACTGCGCAGGGAGAGAACTCTGGAGATCTCACAGGCTGGGAATAGTGCCAGTGCTTTCCAGTCAGATTGGAAAATCTCATAATTAATGAAACATTGAGCGGAATATAAGAAGAGTCTTGCCTCAGTAGCGGGTAATAAATTTAAAAGGAGTCCGGTCATACAAAGTATATTATCTGACCACTATCAAATTAAATGAGAAATTAATAATAAAGAACGATCTGGAAAATCCCCAAATATGTCAAAACTAAATAATAAACCTTTATATAATTCATGAGTCAAAGAAACAGTCAATGTAACTTTAGAAAATAATTTCAATTGAAAGAAAATAAAAGCAGAGCATATTAAAATTTGAGGAATGCATCTAGAAGCAGTTCTTAGAGGGATAATTAATAGGATTAACCACCTGTATTACAGAAGAAAGGTCTTAAATAAGTGATCTTGCCTTCTAATTAAAAAAATAAAAACAAAAACAAAAAAGAACAAATTAAAACTCTAAAGAAAAATAAAATAATAAAGATCAGAGCAGAAAACAATAAAATAGAAATCAGAAACAAATACACAAAAGTTACTCAAACTAAAAGTTGTTTTTTTTAAGATCAACAAAATTTATAAACTTCCAGCCAGAATAATCAGTGAAAAAAGAAAAATGATGTTAATGACCAATATCAGCAATATGAAAAATAGCCTCACTACACATCTATAGATATTAAAATAATAAGGGATTATTACTATCTCAATGCCAATAAATTTACCAATTTAGATCAAGGATCAGTAAACACTTTAAGGATCAAGGCTGACAATGAATGTTCAAAGTTTGTACTCTATATGCAGTCTTTGTCTCCTATTTTTCTTTGTTATTTTCCAATTCTCTAAAAATGTAAAAACAGACACACACACACATATGTGTGTATGTATATTTTATATATTTGTGTGTGTAGATATATACATATACATATATATGTATATGTGCTTAGTTGGCACGGCTACATGATCAATTTGGCTTCTGAGTTATAGTTTTCTAACGCCTGATAATAGATAAAATGAATATATTCCTTGAAATAGCCAAAGTATCAAATTCATGCAAGAAGAAATAGACAAGCTAAATGTCACTATAACAATACTTTTGTGTTTGCATTTATAGTTGAAACCTTCACACAAAGGTCATTCCAGCCCTACAAGGTATCACTGATAAAATCTACCAAATATCTAATAAAAAGTAATATTAAATTTACATAAACTCCTTCAGAAACTTGAACATGAGAAGCAACTTTTTAATGCATTTCATGAAGCTAGCATTACTCTGATACCAAAACCAACGACATAAGAAAAAATCACTATATACTAATACTCCTCATGAAGATAGATGAAAAATTATAAACATTTTAAATAATCAAATTTGCAATATGTAAGATAATTTATCATGACCAAGTGGTATTTATTACAGGAATGCAAGGTTAGTTTAATATTCAAAAATCAAACAACGTAATTCACCACATTAACTAAACTGAAAAAGAAATGTCATATATAATCATAATGTGCTAAAGATTACTCAAATCCAACATATATTCCTGACTAGAAACTTTCAGCAAATTAAGAATAGAAAGAAAAGCCAATTTGACAAAGAGTATTTTTGAAAAAAGTGTAGTTTACATCATACTTCATGACAAATATTAAATAGCTTCCCCTTAAGATCAGAACAACTCTTTGAGTCTATTTAGTACTGTAGTAGGAGTTCTAGCCAGTAAAAATAGGCAAGGTATAAAGAAAAGACCTCAAAATTGGTGAGGAAGAATTAATTATTTTTATTCAAAAGTGACATTAGGACCTGTGTATAAAATCTGATAGGATATATTAAAAAGCTAGTAGAACTAACAGGTGCATTTACAAAGCTTTCAAAATACAAGATCGATATACAAAAGACACCAATTGGATTTCTACTATCAAACAACAATCATAAATTAAAATTTTAAAAAATACCCCTCCATAGCATCAAAAATATAAAACACTTAGGAATAAATATGACAAAAGATGTGCAAGACCTGTACACTTTAAACCATAAAATGCACTGAAAAACTGAAGAAAATCCAGATAAATGAAGAGATATTTAGTGTTCATGGATCTCTCAAATTTATCTTTAGATTCAATGCAATCAAAATGTCATCAGGCTTTTTGTACAAACTGATGATTTATAGGGAAATAGGATGTATCTAGAATATTCAAAAGAAGTTTCTAAAATATGAACAAAACTGGAGGATGAACATTACCTGATTTCAAGATTTGTTATAAAGCTACAGCAATCAAGACAATCTGGTATTGATGAAGATAGAGACATAGATAAATGGAACAGAATATACAGTCCAGAAATAGATTCACATGTTTATGGATTACTAATTTTTGACAAAGTTACAAAGATTGTCTTTTCAATAATTGGTATTGGGGCAATTGGATATCCATACTGCAAGGAGCTTAGAGCCAAGTACAAAGTTAAAGGGCACAGTTCTCAAGACTCCTGCCACTTTTGACACTGATCACAAAGTCAAAGGAGTTCCCCACACCACCCTCAAGTTTGATAGCATTAGAAGGACTCACAGGACTCACTGAGAGCTATTATACTCACAGTTATTATTCAATACAGGGAAAGGATATAGAAAAATTTCAGCCAAAGAAATATGTGTACAAGGTGGACTCCAGTAGCTGCTGTTGTCCTTTCCCACAGAGTCCAGACATGTCACTCTACTGTCATCAACACAGGATAATGCACACAGAGAACTGTCAACCAAAAAGGCTTGCCCAAGCTTCAGGGAGGAGTTTTTTTTATTGGGGCTTTATTATATATGCATGATTGATTGACTGATTTCCCTTGTGTTTGAACAAAGTTTCCGGGTCTACTGACACCACATAACCAAAAGCCCCCAATCTTAAGTCACATTGTTGGTCTTTCTGACATGACCATTCCCAACTCTAAAACTAAACAAGTGTGACCTCCTCCATCCTAACATCTAACATGGCCACTCCTCACCCTGAAAACAATCCTGTCAGTTATACCTCCTACAAGCCAAGGGCAGAGATCAGACCTCTCTTTGGGCCAGACAAAATTTTTTACCACCATGTACACACACTAAGAAAAAAAAAAACCTTGGATCCATACCTTACATCATACACAAAACTTATCTCAAAATTTTCATAAACATAAATGTAAATTATAATACTTACAATACTATAAGCCAAATAAAAGTCACATGAAAATGTGTGTGATCTTGCATTAAGCAAAAATTTCTTAGCTATGACACTAAACACTGACCATAAAAGAAAAACAAATGATAATTTGGACCTTATAACAATTAATTCTTCTCTTTTAAAGGAAAAATAAAAATCTGTTAACTGAATAAAAGAAATAAAAGGAAAACCACGACCTAAAGAAAATTCTTGCAAATTACATATCTGATGAAGGCCTTGTATCTAGAATGTAAAAAGAACTTCCCAAACTAAATTTAAAAAATGAACCAAATGAAAATGGGCAAAACATTTACATAAGCATTTTTGTGAGGTAGATTTTCTGATTACCGAATAACCACATTAAAAATGGTAAACATAATTTATCATCAGGGAAATGCATATTAAAATCACATTGAGAGACTACTACACATCTACCAGATTGGCTAAAGTTAAAAAGACTGATCTGGCCAGGCGTGGTGGCTCACACCTGTAATCCCAGCACTTTGGGAGGCTGAGGCGGGCGGATCATGAGGTCAGGAGATCAAGACCATCCTGGCTAACACAGGGAAACCCCATCTCTACTACAAAGTACAAAAAATTAGCCAAGCATGGTGGCGAACGCCTGTGGTCCCAGCTACTTGGGAGGCTGAGGCAGGAGAATGGCATGAACCCGGGAGGCGGAGCTTGCAGTGAGCTGAGATCTCGCCACTGCACTACAGACTGGGAGAGAGAGCAAGACTTAAAAAATAAATAAATAAAATAAAATAAAAAAGACTGATCTTACCTTGTGTTAGCAAGGAAACAGAACTGTAACTTTAATTCACCACTGATGGTGGGAATGTAAAATGGTACAACCACATTTTAAAAAGTTTGTTAATGTCATAAAGAGTTAAACATACACCAACATACACCTAGACATTTCATTTCTAGATATTTGAGGAGCAGAAATGAAAACATATGTTCACACAAAGACAAGAAAATAAATGTTTATGGAAGCTTTATTTGTAACAGCTAAAAACTGGAAACAATCTAACATTTACCAACATCTACAAATTGTGGTATATCCGTACAAATTACTACAACAGAAAAATAAAATATAATGAACTATTAATAAATGCAACACATGGGTGTGTATCAAAATAATTATGCTGAATGATAGCAAACAGACTAAAAAGAATACATGCTGCATGATTCAATTTATATAAATATTTAATACAAATTAAATTTTATTATCAGAATGCAGATCAGGGAGTTGCCTAGGAAAGAGATGGGGAGCGATAAGAAAGAGAGATAACAGAGGGCATAAGAAAACTTTTGGGGGTGATGGGTCTGTTTACTATCTTGATTGTGATGATGGTTTTACAGGTAGACCAATTGTATATTTAAATATATGCAGTAATGTATTTAAATTTTATCTCAATAAACTATCAAAAGATGTTTTACAAAGACCCTTGATTCCTTAATTCATAGAAATAAAATCAAGATATAATTATAAACACTCCTTTTCATACCTCACACATTCCAAGTTGTTTACAAAACACTAACCAGAGAGGTAAAAGGTCTCTACAACAAGGATTACACTGCCCAAAGAAATCAGAGATGACAAAAATAAATAGAAAAACATTCTATGCTCATGGATGGGAAGAATCAATCTTGTTAAAATCGCCATACTGCCTAAAACAGTTTACAGATTTAATGCTATTCCTGTCAAACTACCAATAACATTCCTTGTAGAATTAGAATAAATGATTCTGAAGTTCAAATGGAACCAAAAAAGAGCCCAAATAGCCAAAGCAATCCTAATTAAAAGAAACAAAGCTGGAGGCATCATGTTACCTGACTTCAAACTATACTACAAGGCTACAGTAACAAAAGCAACATGGTATTTGTACAAAAACAGTCACATAGAACACCCAGAAATAAAGCCACACACCTACAACCATATGATCTTCAACAAAGTTGACAAAAACAAGCAATAGAGAAAGGACTCCCCATTCAATCAATGATGCTAGGATAGCTGGCTAACCATATGCAGAAGATTAAAACTGGACCTCTTCCTTATACCATATACAAAAATCTACTCACAATGGATTAAAGACTTAAATGCAAAACCTAAAACTATAAAAACTCTTGAAGAAAACCGAGGAAATACCATTCTAGACATAGGCCCTAGCAAAGATTTTATGACAAAGATGCCAAAAGTAATTGTAACAAAAACAAAAATTGACAAATAGGACCTAATTAAACTAAAGAGCTTCTGCACAACAAATGACTATCAACAGAGTAAAGAGACAACACACAGAATGGGAGAAACTATTTCAAACTATGCATCTGAGAAATGCCTAATATCCAGAATCTATAAGGAACTTAAACAAATTAACAAGCACAAAACAAACAACCCCATTAAAAACTGGACAAAAGACATGAACAGACAATTCTCAAAAGATTTATATACAATCAAGGGCATATGAAAAAATGCTCAACATCAATAGTCATTAGAGAAATGCATATCAAAACCACAATGATCTAATACCAGTCAGAATGACTATTATTAAAAAGTCAACAAATAACAGATGCTGGTGATGCTACAGAGAAAAAGGAACACATACTCTGCTGGTAGGAATGTAAATTAGTTTAGCCACTGTAAAAAGCAGTTTGGTGATTTCTCAAAAAACTTAAAACCACCATTTGACCCAGCAATCTCATTATTTGCTATATACCCCAATGAAAATAAATTGTTCTACCATAAAGACACATGTGGCCAGGCGCAATGGCTCATGCCTGTAATCCCAGCATTTTGGGAGGCTGAGACAGGCGGATCATGAGGTCAGGAGATCGAGACCATCCTTGCTAACATGGTGAAACCCCATCTCTACTAAAAATACAAAAAATTAGCTGGGCGTGATGGCAGGCGCCTGTAGTCCTGGCTACTTGGAAGGCTGAGGCAGGAGAATGGCGTGAACCCAGGAGGCAGAGCTTGCATTGAGCCAAAATTGCACCACTGCACTCCAGCCTGGGCGACAGAGCAAGACTCCGTTTCAAAAAAAAAAAAAAAAAAAAAAAAAAAAGACACATGCATGCATATGTTCATCACAGGACTATTCACAATAGCAAAGACATGGAATCAACCAAAATGCCCATCAACAGTAAACTGGATAAAGGAAATGTGGTACATATACACCACGGAATACTTACAATATAGCTATAAAAAAATGAGATAATATCCTTTGCAGCTACATGGATGGAGCTGGAGGCTATTTTCCTAAGTGAATTAACACAGGAACAGCAAACCAAATATCACATGTTTTCACTTATAAGTGAGTGTTAACATTGAGTACACAGGGACACAAAGACAGTAATGGCAAGACACTGGGGCCTACTTGAGGGTGGAGGGTGAGAGAAGGGTGAGGGTTAAAAAAAACTACCTATTGGATATTATGCTTATTATTACACCTGGGTGACAAAATTATATGTACGCCAAACCCCCATGACACACAACTCACCTGTAGAACCAACATGCACATGTACCCCTGAAACTAAAAGTTTTAAAAAAAATTTTTTAAAAACATTAAATAAAGAAATACATAAATAAAAGTTAAAAGTAACAAGAATGAAAAAATTGAAATAGAAGTAAAAAGAATAAACAATGCCTACCATACACCTATTCCAGAAAGCAAACAAAGGAAACAGACACAGTTCATACTTCTCTATATGCTTTATAATTTTTTTCATGTATTTGTTTGGAGGTTGAACAATATGTGAAAGTTGAATAATGCACACCTGTAGTAGAACTGTTTTTATTTTGTTTTGGTTTTACTGTTTGCTTCCTTGTGTGGTTTTTGTAGGTTGCAGTATGAGGGTATTCGTTGTTGGAAAGCTAAAGTCATGACTAATTCTAATTATCCTCAAATACTCTTCTCTCTCCAATAATGGAGAAGGAGCTCAAGCATAGGAGAGAGTTCAGCATCTCTGCATAACTCAGCAGAGTCATCTCTGTCAACCATAAGCACGTTCTAGACACAACCTTTTCCTGCTATGTCAGCAAAAGGCACAGGGAGCAACTGGACCAGCATGAGACAAAGTCAAGGAACCAAAAGGAAGTTAGCTGTGAGAGAAATTGGTTCTTCCATGACAAGGAAGATCCTGGAACTTCAGACATGGAGGGAGGAGAAAATGAATAGAATTTAGACGACGGCGTCTCTGAGGTAAAGTAAGCCATTAATATCCAAGTCAGCAGGTTTTCATGCCAACATCCGAAAGTCCACAGTGTTCAAGGGGTGGAAATGGGTTAAACCTCTAAAAATTTTGGATAAAATTAATAGTCATGCTGGGATTTTCTTAAGTAAATGGTTAAAATTTGAGGAGAGATCTTGACAGTTTTTTTTTTAACATCTACTATGAAAATATCAAACCAGTGCTTTCGCTTAGGTTTGAACAATTTCATTACAACATAGTTGGCTGTTACTGCTCCAGAGAAAAGATGATACTGGGGAGAAAATGTCACAGAATTAGTAGAAACGTCACTGTGGCCATAGAGCAACAGCCATATCAGCAGCACCAGGAGAACTGCATGTCCCCAATTTATTCTTCTGCTTCAGTCTTTATCATCTAAGGAGTGATTTTCTTCCCCAGCAAATATTTGGCAATGTCAAGAGATATTTTTGTTTGTAATGAGTGAAGGGTCTATTGACACCTAGGGATGCTACTAAATATCCTACAATGCACAGGACATTTCCCCACCTCTACCCAAAAAATTATCATTTTTTAGGTAAATTAAGTACCTAAAAGTATCTATACTGTAAAGATGGATAAAGCCCAAAGTATCAATACTATGAAGATTGAGAAACCCTGTTCTTTCCCATGAATATTTTCTCAACTACCATATACCAAGCACGAAACTAGTGAAAACACACACACACAAAATCATGATCTTCATGGAGCTGACTTTCTAGTGGTATAACCCAAGATCTCCAAGTTTTCGGGCACACACTGAGCAAAGGTAACCCACTTGTAACTATTGCAGGTAGTTTTTGTTGCTTCAAAATGAATAACTGAACAAATGGATTAAGTAGTGGTAAATGTTTTAAAGAAAAGTAACTCAGATTAAAAGGACAGAGAGTGAGTGGCAAGGGGAAGTTTTGGATAAAGTTGACTAAGGAAAGAATTTCTCAAGTGGTTGTTTCATTTTAATCAAAGTCTGAGTTAAGAAGAGAAATGAATCTTGAAAATATATAGAGTAAGAACATTTCACACAGAAGGAAGAGCAAGTGCAAAGTGCCTGATATGGAATTCTGTTTGAAATGCTCAGGAAAGGAAATCAGAGTGGCTGAGCCCAGTAAGAAGAATGGTGGGATACAATGCTAGTGAGGTAGTCAGGCTACATCAAGGAACTCTCAGTCCAGGACAAAGTGAGGATGGCAAATATTTTTCTAATGGTGAGGGAAATCATCGGATGTGTCTGAGCAGAGGAATGGCACAGTATTATGTTTATCTTAAAAAGTAAGTATTGTTGGGCAGGTACAATGGCTCATGCCTGACATCTCAACACTTTGGGAGGTTGGGCAGGAGGACTGCTTAAGGCCAGGGGTTCAAGACCATTGTGGGCAACATAGTGAGATCCCATCTCTAGCAAAAAAAAGAAAAGAAAAAAAAAGAGCCGGATGTGTGGGCACAAGCCTGTAGTCCCAGCTACTTGGGAGGCTGAGGTGGGAGAATCACCGGAGTCCAGGAGCTAGAGGGTGCAGTGAGCCATGATTGCACCACTGCACTCACTCCAGCCTGGGTGACTAAGCGAGGCCCTGTGTTTAAAAAAAAAAAAAAAAAAAAGTAACTGCTTGCTTAAGAAGAGAGAATGGGGAGAGGTGGAACAAAATTAGAAGCACAAAGGATAAGTAGGAGGCTACAGCCTCCAGACAGAAGATGGAGAGGCTAGCGAACAATGTCTAGGAAGCAGGTACTATGATCATATATTATTCAGACCAAGAGAATCTCTCACACTTGATGGAGTGGAGGCAGAAGACTACGTCGTGTTGATGTTGGAATGGACTGATGAGCAGCCAAATTTCAGAGTATCCAGCAAGAGCAGAAGGAATGAGTTCACAGGACTGATACCACACCTTAGGGTTCCATAAATTCCTGTGCAAATTTGGAATAGGCTGAACAGAGTTGAACAAATGGATGAAATTTGTTATTAGTGTCAATGCAATATCATTCAAACACACTATCTAAAAAGGAGAAGAAAAACAAAGACAAAAAAAAGAGCAAGAAGAGGAAGAAAAAAAGAAAAAGGAGAAGGGAAAAAAGAGGAGGAAGAAGTGACTTGCATGAGAGGAAACGTGTGCTTTCTTCTCTTCCCATGTCCAGGAAAGACCCTAGTTCATTGTCTCTCATACTATTACCAATAAACCCACATTTATCTGGTGGTAATTACCAAACTTGCCGGTTCAGAAATCTGGAGATGTACAGTAAATATAGCTTGTTAAGCAAAAATATTACCTTGAATGATATAAATAATAAGCCTTTCAAATGATACTTTCTTCAGAGTAACAAAAATCCAGATTTTTCATATAAATGTTTAATACAGAATCCTCAATTTTTTAAATTAATATTTATAATTTATTTTTCTTACTGTAAATGTCATTAAATTTTTGAAAAATAAAACTGTAAAGAAGGAAAAATATGTAATGGCATTATAATATTTTAACTATTAAAAATATTTTGATGATTATGCTTTTCTCCAGTTTTCAGCATTTGTATGGAATTTTTGAAAATTATAGTCATATTACTATATATACTATAATGCTAATTTTTAGCTTAAAATGATTTTAGCACACACATCTTAAATATTTTTGAATAACATTTTGATGACTGAAAGATACTATATTTTACATATTACCCATATCATCCGTTCTCCTAATAAATTTTTTTCTAATATAATAAATACATTACATACATATTTCTTCTAATCTCTTAATACCGCTTAAAGATACAATTTCATAAATACGTATTTTTAAGGGTCTTGATAAATACTGAAAAATTATGTTAGCAATGTTATGCTAATTGAAACTCTCACCACAGTGTACAAAGTCCTTTCATACTAGTTCTCTAAAAATACTGATTTTCAGTTCATTTTTTGCCAATTTCATTGAATTTCCAATTATTTTAACAAATTCTTAATTACTTTAGAATTTAATAGGACATTTTTCTTGGTTACAAGACCTAACTTCAAACCTAAAATTAAAAACACATTTTAATACTATTAAAAAATGTGATTTAGTCTATTTCAACTTACAGTCTGAAAAAGAGAAATAATTGCTTATTAGAATGTGTTGAAAACAAGTACAACAATATATTAATATATTTGCTTTAGCTATATGAAATGGTACAATTTTTATTCAAAATGATAAGATCACAAGAGTGTTAATGCATACATAAGCTAATGTCACTAAACACTAGTTTACACTTAGAATACAACAAAAAAACAAATTTTCATAGTAGAGAGCTATGGTTTAGCTTCAGTGTCAGCATATGAAAAAGAATGATCTGTATATATGGAGAAACTCTTAACTTCTTAAGAAACCCAAAATCTCACTTTTCTAGTCTCCTAAATAATAAAAATAACGTCTCCTAAAATAATTTAAGAACTTGTTGGAGATGTACTGCCTGAAGGAGAGAATATCCTGTAACAGTTTTCCCTAGTTGTTAAAGTGCTAACTCTCTCTCTATATAAATATAGATAGATAGATTACATGATTATATAGGAAAGATCCTAGTTTGTTGTCTCTCATACTATTACCAATAAACCCACATTTAAGTTATATGTTATACATGTTACATGTAAGTTGTATATATATATATATATATATACACATCTTATATATATACATCTTATATGTAGATTTATTTATTATCACTGAGTCATATAGTCAAAGAACTCTAGAGCCGAAATTTCATTAAATATTATCTAGTTCAAAAGTATTTTCTCTCTCTTTTTTTTCTTTAAGTTTCTTTTTTCTTTGTTTATTGTTAGCAGAATTTTTGTTCAAGTTAGTCTTCCAAGAAACTCCTACACATACAAAGATAATCGCAGCGGCAGCCTGGTGGAAATAGATGATGAGGAACCTCCTGGTGCCTCGCTTCACCCTCTGAGGCTGAGCAGAGACTCTGTTGGTCCATATGGAGCCTTTGTGTGTATTGGGAAAAGATGTCCCTTCCACAACTAGTCTATCTGTAGGAAGCTAGTATAACTTTTTTGTTATAAAATCACTTCATATTTTCATCTGCCAATTTTTTTTGGACTATCCAAACAAATGCTCGATTTCTATGATGTAGAGTGTCACTGTGGTGCACCACACATCCTGCACGCCCGGTCATGGGACCCTGATGGCGAACACTGAGGTTCCCGGATAGAATCATCAAAAACTGCAGATCTGGTGAAGCTTGCTTGTATTTCTGATGGAGACACTTCAATTCCATTAGGTCCATCATCACTCATTTAACAGACCTGTATTTAGAATGCACATATTCTCACCATTTACCTGTTTTTCATAATATTCCTATAGGTTTGCATGGAATAAAACAACTGAAAGGAAATATAGAAGTAACTGTTAAAATTAAATTTTATACTTTGATTAATTATCAACAGAATAAATGGTGATGGTGGGGCAAGGGTTTCTTTGCCCTGAGAAGAATAAGAATAGATGAAGAATGAAGTGTTGTTGGAGTTCTGGTAAAGAAATAGAAAATGCTCATCTGGCCTGAAATAAAGACCGCACATTTGAACAGTAGAAGTTAAAGAGTTGTTATGACAAGAACTATTATGGGAGACACAGCCCAGGAAGAAGTGGTCAGGAGGCTGTAAAGGCAGCAGAGATAATAATTTCTATACTTAAGGTCATATTGCTTGTCTGAAGAAAAGGAATTATAATCTGAGTGAACATACATAAATCACTTAATCAGACTATTTGATATAGAGGTAACAAAGCAAAAACATTTGCTAAAGATATAGCAGTAGTGGTCTTTTAACCAAAAATATCATAGTCTTTTTCATGATTGCAAAATAAATATAATCATACATGAAGGGGGTAGCTGAGTTACAAACATTAAAAAATAAAATTAAATAAACAATAATAAACAACCCTGAAAGACAAAGCTAAAAAAAAGAAGAAAATACTTAAGCTTATTTGCAATCTTTTTTCCTGAGGAAATGTCCCAGAAAGTTTTAGTGAGAAATAAATCACTTTTTAGGCAATGAATCTGTAGGCAAGGATGTCTAATCTTGTGACTTCCCTGGGCCACAGTGGAAGAAGAAGAATTGTCTTGGGCCACACCTGAAATACACTAACACGAACTATAGCTAATGAACTAAAAAATAAAATCGCAAACAAAATCTCTTAATGTTTTAAGAAAGTTTATGAATTTGTGTTGAGCAGCTTGCAAAGTTGTCATGGGCCGCATGTGGCCCATGGGTCACAGGTTGGACAAAGTTGCTGTAGAGTAAGAAGAGCCCAGAAAGCAGAAGGAGATACAGGTTTTCTGAAAGCAGCAGCAGTTCAGGGCTATGCAGAGGGGTCATCTCACCAAAGCAGGAAAGGAAAGAAACAGTGCAATGGGAAAAGTAGAGAAATGCTGAACACAGAAAGACACAGAAGAAGGAATCTAGAGACAAAAAAAAAGTGATACACAGAAACATGTGCATGGGAAGCACCGGCTCTGCAATAGACAGTAGTCATGGGTCTTTGAGGGAGATTTGTCTGATTCATGAAATAGGAAGGAGGAATGAAGAGGGAGGGGGGAAGGGGAGCGGGGGAGGGAAGGGAAGGGAAGGGGAGAGGAAAATGAAGGCGGAAGGAAAGAAAGCAAGGGGGAAATAAGTAAGGACAGAAGGGAACAGAAAGGGAAGGAGGGAGGAAATAGGAAAGAAAAGGAGGAAGGATGATCGAAATCAAAGTTCTGCAAATGACCTCACTAGAGAGTATGTGCCAATCCCCTCCCTCTGTGAAGAAGGCCTGGTGGCCAAAGCAAATCTTAAAATTCAGTACTATCTTGGTAATTAGTTGAAATGTTTAATTTAATGGTTTAGTAAATTCAGTTAATAGTTTATCTCGAGTGTGTGATTAAGTTATTCTTGAGGAAATTCTTTTTTGTTTCAAATCTCAATTAAGATTTCTAACATGGTGTTGATTATTTCAAAAATACCCTAATTCTGGAAAAGAAAGCAGATGGATCTATATCTTAATCCTTACTCAAAAATACATTGTGGATGGATCAAAGATTTAAATGTGGAAAATAAAATCAGAAAGGTACAACAAGCAGCAAAACCTAGTTTTTACATAATATTTGAGTAGGAAAGGCCTTAATATCACATAAATTTAGGAGCCATTAAAGAGAATATTGATAAATTTGTCTGCTTAAAATTTAAAAAAATTATTCCTAAAAGGAAACTTAAAGTAAAAAGGCAATAGAATATTGCAGGGAAATATGTATAAATGTCTGATATACAAAAATTTAATTTGTTAATACCTTAAGAGCTCTAAATAATCAGTAAGAAAAACCAGCAGAAAAATGAGGAAGGATAGAAATAGAGAATTCCAGAGAAATGTATATATATATATAAACAGTGATTAAGTACTTGAGTTAATATTTAGAGTCATTCATTGTAAAATGCAAAATAAAAATACAATCAGATGTTATTTTTACTTAACAAGCTGGCAAATATCAAGTTAGGTAATACAACTTGTTAGCGAGATTGGAGGAAGAGATTATATGTTGCTATTAATATATGTTGATATTAATGTAATGATCAACATGTATTTATAATGCATTTAATCTTTAGCTAAACAATTTTCATTCTAGGAATTTATCCCACAGATAATTACAAACTTTAAAGAATCTGATATTTTTTTCCTTACTTCTGAGCTAACAAATCGCCTGTCACAGTTTCACGTATGTTGGCAGAAGGTTGGAGACTCCTGGGCCAGAGATACACAGCAGTATCATGCATGGGACAGAAAGCTGCACAAGATGCATGTTCTCAACAGTTCCCTCTGTCCTTTCAAGTTCCACAGGGGCAACATGGAGGGGCAGCCTTTGTGGTGGGTTTGCTTCAGAGCTGAGGAGCTTTGAGCTTAGGAAGTCTGAAACTTTTATGCTAACCAGTAAATACATCTGCTTTGTTTCCAGAGGGAGACATCATCTCCATCTTTAGGGTGTTTGTCATAAAAACATCATTGATAAGACAGTCTGGAATAAAACAGCAGTTAACTCCTCTGGTTGCAGGATATTCAGAAAAGTGACAGACTTATCAACCATTGCCCCTTAACACAGATATCTCATGCAAAATTTTAAGTGTGAATAATTTTATTGCTACACTGTATAATAGTATTTAATTAGAAATATATAAAGTACCCATCATTAAAGTTCTAAATGTAGCAGTGAGCTTGTATATGCTGAAGTATGAATACATAACAAAGGCAGGAAATTGATATATCTATCTTCCAAGTCTGATTTTCTAGTATGTGTGTGTCTGTGTGTAAATATATATTCATATATATATAATGAATTTTAAAAACTGATAATAGTATTTCCTTTAGCAAGGGAAACTGAGTAGTTAAGGGCGGTCGGGGAGAAAATTTACTTTATATATTTTTGCACCTTTTGAATTTTGTCACATTTACCTACTGAGGAAATTACTTATTTTTCTAAAATGTCCTAATTTAATTAGTCCATTCTTGCCACTGAAATTATGCTCAAGCAACGCCCTATTTTGCCTTTATTTCTAACCAATAAAAGAAAAAGGTAAAAGGTTCCTAAACCACTCAATAGAAAGTACAATCCCCATCACACTATTCTCAATAACAGCCCCTTAGTTTTCTTTCTATAAAACACTGGTTACAATGTAAATAATTTGTTTATTTGGTGGTTTGATTTTGTTTTGTTCCGTGATGGAGACATTATAATCTCTCCTGTCTAGCCCACAGCAGGTCCTCTAAAAAATTTGATGATTGGATGAGTTCAGTAAAAGTTTTGGTGACTGAAGAACCTTAATTATATTGAGACCTGCTAACAAACACTGAGATCTAACATTTGACTGGTATTTTGTTGTCTAGTTTTGAGTTGGTTGATTAGATTAACAGGAGTGTTAAAGAGCAAAATAAGGTAGTATAAGTCTTAGTCAGGAATTATCCCAGGCCTGGGACATAGGCTCATTCCTGCAATTGAGCACTTTGGAAAGCCAAGGTGGGAGGGTTGCTTGAGTCCAGGAGTTCAAGACCAGCCTGGGCAACATAGCAAGACTCTTTCTCTATAAAAAAATAAGTTAAAAAAAATTAGACAGGCATGGTGGCATGTGCCCATAGTCCCAGCTACGCCATAGGCTGAGGTGGGAGGACAACTTGATTGCACCACTGCACTCCAGCATGGGTGACAGAGTGAGAGCCTGTCTCAAAAAAAATAAATAAATAAATAAATAAGAATTATCTCAACTCCAAGGGGTAACAATAGATTGCATTAATTTATTGATGTGAATTAGAACAACAGAGTCTCATTTCCTACATATTTTCTATTCTATATCAGGGGATGACAACAGGCTAGAGACCAACTCCATCCTACCATAGGTTTCTGTAAATAACATTTTTTGTTTGTCTGTTTGTTTGTTTTGAGACAGAGTCGCTCTCTCACCCAGGCTGGAGTGCAGTGGCATGATCTCGGCTCACTGCAGCCTCCTCCTCCTGGGTTCAAGCAATTCTCATGCCTCAGCCTCCCGAGTAGCTGGGACTACAGGCACACACCACCATGCTCAGTTAATTTTTGAATTTTTAGTAGAGATGGGTTTTCATCGTGTTGGCCAGGCTGGTCTCGAACTCCTGACTCCAGGTAATCTGCCTGCCTCGGCCTCCCAAAGCGCTGGGATTACAGGCATGAGCCACCATGCCCGGCCAGGTTTCTGTAAATAAAGTTTTATTGGAACATAACCGCGTTCATTCATTTACATATTATCTATAACTGCTTTCACACTACAACAGCACAGCTGGAGAGTTGAGTTGTTGCAACAGAGACTACAAAGACTCAAACATTTATGATCCGTCTTTTTACCAAAAAAGTTTGCTGACCCATATTCTAGAGGTTTTTTGAAGCTCTAAATAATGGAACAGCAGGATGCTTCTACCAGTATTACAAGAGAAATTGGATAGCCATCAGTAATACAACCACAAATTACTAAAAGTTCTTTGTCTGGTAAGAAAAGGACTCAAATTCAAATTCTTATATTAAAAACTCCCTGAAGAATCCCCTGAAAATACTAACTGCTTATTTTCAGCTTAAGAAAGGCAAGAAACATGGGCAATGAAAAACTGCTATGTCTTCCGGGTGCAGTGGCTCATGTATGTAATCCCAATACTTTGGGAGGCTGAGGCGGGTGGATCACCTGAGGTCAGGAGTTTGAGACCAGCCTGGCCAACATGGCGAAACCCCGTCCCTACTAAAAATACAAAAAATTAGCCGGGCATGGTGGTGGGCACCTGTAATCCCAGCTACTTGGGAGGCTGAGGCAGGAGAATTGCTTGAACCCGGGAGGCAGAGGTCACAGCAAGCAAGCCATTGCACTCCAGCCTGGGTGACAGAGCGAGACTCTGTCTCAAAAAAAAAAAAAAAAAAAAAAAAAAAAAAAGAAAAACTACTATGTCTTTCAGGCAGGGTCTCCTGAGGTAATATCATTGTAATTCTTTATTCAAGGGGTTATTTTATGTTCAGATACAATGTAGACTCTACAAATGGAAGGTGCCTACAACTTTCATGGCCTCAACTTGTTCTTAGAGTTTAAAGTCATTTATTCCTCAGCAGTGCTTCCCTTATTAAAATTTTGATAATCAACAAGTAGCTTGGGAGCTGGGCATGGTGGCTCATGCCTGGAACCCAGCTACTCTGGACGCTGAGGCAGGAGGATGTCTTGAGGTCAGGAGTCTGAGACCAGCCTGGACAACATAGAGACCTTGTCTCTAAAAGAAAAGGAAAAAAAATTATAAAAAATAAAAACAAGTAGTTTAAACCATCAAGAGAGCCTCTACATCTAAGGCACCATGGCTATTCCTTCCAGACCCCACAGATGCCCTTTTGCTTAGGGTTAGGATGAACTCTGAAATTAATATGATCTCTATTCACCGTCAAATAAGGTACTGCTTTGATAATATGTTACGAGTGTATAGATATTCATCTACTAAAATTGGAGCTCAGGTTTTCAGCTCATACACTTGGGCTTTACTGGGAGAACTATGAAAAAAGACTTGTAATCAATAACAACTTACTTGGCTATATATATATATATATATATATATATATATATATATATATATTTAATGACACAGAAGTAAAAATATCCTTTTGCAATTTATGTTATTCAAGCCATACATCTCCTCAGACTGACTGTAACTCACACACTTATTGTTTATGTTTTATGAAATAATGTTCCAGGCAGGGCTAAGAAATGCTAATTTGCCCATGGGTCACACATCAGAGCTTATATACACACTGATGGATAGGAGAGGGAGCTTCAGTTTGCTTTAAAAGAATGAGATAAACAGTGATAAAGGGAGAGAAATGGCATTCTCAGTTGATCGGTTTGATCACTTTTATAGATTGCTTGTCACTGGGGGAAAAAAAATCATAGACATCGCTTTAAGTTTTCAAAGGATTAGCATTGGACTAAGTTGTTCTCTAAACCCCTTCTCATCATTATACCTCAATTATTTGACTTTTCTGTGAGCAAACGCCAATCACTCCCAGGTGTCCTTCATTATCAAGTCAAAGCATTTTCCTTCCCAAACCTCAGATTGCCGCATTTCCCAGGGCTTATTGATGATTTTAAGAGGAACCAAACTTTCTAGATAAGATATTTTATACTTTGAAAATCCTTTTAAGAACAGCATGCTGTAAGTGTTCCAGATTAATTCCTCCCTCCATCACATGCAGATAAACTTGAGGTTTTTCTACTGTAACCAGGAGAGCTTTTTGTTACAGTAACCCTTGCTGACTATGACTCAGAGTACATTTGTTTGCAAAATAAGTAAAAAAGTTTCAAAAAATGAAGTAAATCTTGGAGCCACAAGTTAAAACTACTGGATATTATTAGTAATCATAACGGTGGCCTCTACGGTGACCCATGTTAAATTAATTTTATACAACATATAGACTTCCTCGTTTCTGATGGACATCAACACTGCTGCTGCCTTTTGTTTTGTGTGTGTGTGTGTGTGTGTGTGTGTGTGTGTGTTTTGTTTATTTCAGTGTCCTATATATAACTTAAATTCAAAGTACTATGAAGCAGACAGAAAGAGCTAGCGTTTGGGCACTTCTCTTTAGAATGACCAAATTCAAGGTAAATATTTGCACATCAATGCAGGCTAATCAGGCATCTTTATCAAGTGGTAAAGCTGTGCTTTATTCAAAGTTTAACATGGGATAGTTAAAGGCAAGGACAACTTTCAGGTGCCCTTATCAACATATTAGCCCCAGTTGCATTTTCCAAATATGTTATCAAAATGGTAATTCTATGCTTTCCTTTCTGTAGCTAGACTAGGTTTCGTAAAGGTAGAATTATTACTATAAATATATTGGGGGGAAACTATTTCAATTACAGGGAGAATATGTAACTCCAAGTCTATTTATTTCAATTTATTCAACTGTCTTGATATATTCGCGCACAGAACTTTATAAAGAATGAATAAATTCACCTTGAAATTGTGCCAATTGACTTTGGCTGCGCTAGTCTGTGAGAGGAATCGCAGTCCCTTTTTGAAATAAGCCTTGACAATGCTGATCAAAACAAAGAGGCTATTCATTTATTAAACTGACAGCTCAACTCAGGCTTCAAACTTATGGGATGACGGGGCCTGGGGTGCTAGCTCTGGCCTGGGGTGCTGGCCTCTACCAGATACATCTTTGCTGCTCACCCACTCAGAGCCTGTATCTGATGGTGTGACATTTCCTAGGGCATTGGCAGCTGTTCAGATGTCAAGCAGCTTGGTGTGAGAACTGTCATCCACTCCAGGTTATTATTCCGTGAGTGACATGTTAGCCTGGAGAATTTTTTTCAGAAAACCACCTTGGTTTCCCTTTAGTTACTTACAATCTATTAGAAATTTCAGCAAAGAGGTGTGTCATGGCTAACAACTCTACTAAAGTAAAATTGGGCAATCAATGGTCATATTAGATAACTGATTATTATTACAGAGTTGTAAAATGTGCATTCTGAAATTAACTACCTCTATAGTTAATGTACCAAATTTTGTGAATAATTTATTTTGCAAAAGAGAGTGAATTCCACTTTCTATTTTCTTGTTTAATGGCACTGTAATACCATTCTGAATTATCTAAGAATGCTGCCCACACTGGAATAATCTTGGGCATAGAAAATGGGAATGGACTGGGTGCAAGGAACATAGCCATCTATGTGTTTTGTGGTCATTCCAAATGCTGTACAGCCCCACTCTAATGAATGGAGTTAAACATTGAGCAAAACATGATCAACATGGCAATAGCATATTATATTCATTTAGCAACATTTTAGTGAAAGTGTTAAACCAAAGGGTTTTTCTTCTAACAATACAATGTGTTGTAAAATCAATACTAATTCAGTAAAGACAAGCAAAAGGAATGTCAGAATCAGATCACTGCTTGGAGAAAGAGGAGAGTTCCTTTAAAAAAATGATAAATTAGTCTGTAAAGCAAAGAGTCAAGTAGGAATAAAGTTGAATGAGGCTTTAAATGAAGAAAGCAAAACACAATACCAGTCACAACTAGAGGCTGGATATTTCCAAAGCTGCTATTTACTATATTTTGGCTTTCCTCAAAAGACAAGTCTACTCAGGTTTATTTGAAACTGTAAAAAGAAATCTGTAAATTTTAAAATCATTTTAGTAAAATGAGAACAATGTGGCTTGACAAAAATTACTGTGGCAATATTGCTAATTTTTTATTCTTTAATTTCCTGCTGAACATTCATACATTCTCATTGTACACATAGGCATTCTTCATCACATTGTTTGCTTTTATGGTAGTTCATCTTTTCTTCCTATATTCATTTCCAAATAGTTGTAACATTACTACAAATTTGTCTCAGGGCATATTTCCTCTGCACTGTTAGCCCTCATAATTGAAGTAGGACTGAATTAACCCTTAGATAAAGGGAGAGCCTGCGACCTGGGCCTAAGCCACTTGCTGCCTTACACACCCCCAAATGTGGCAAATGACTCCAGATGAACCTATCAAATGTAGTCCTGTAATTCCAGTTTGAATTGTGAGGAGGTATTTTAAGGCTGTAAGTCAGCAACCTTACTGCAATTTTACAGTAAGCTTGTTTAAAAGTTAAACCCTTGTAGAGGAAAAATGAACACAGTTATGGTGAGAGCTTGCTAATATACATTGAGACCCTGAATTTATCCATATCTGAAACCAGCATGTATTAGTCAGGGTTCTGTAGAGGGACAGAACTGATAGGATAGATATATATCCTTGTGATTGTGTGAGGTAATATTTAATAAACTCCCATATATATTACCTCACACAATCACAAGATCCCACAATAGGCTGTCTGAAAGCTGAGGAGCAAGGAAAGCCAGTCCAAGTCCCAAAACTGAAGAATGTGGAGTCTGATGTTCAAGGGCAGGAAGGGTCCAGCATGGAGAAAGATGTAGGCTGGAAGGCTAAGCCAGTCTAGTCTTTTCACGTTTTTATTTTTTGTTTTTTTTTTTTTTTTTTTCCTACCTGCTTTATATTCTAGCCATGCTGGCAGCTGATTAGACGGTACCTACCCAGATTAAGGGTGGGTCTGCCTTTCCCAGCCCACTGACTCAAATGTTAATCTCCTTTGGCAACACCCTCACAGACATACCCAGGATCAACTGAAGGATTCATCTTCCTTCAATCCAATCAAGTTGACACTCAGTATTAACTATCCCAAGTCCACCCCTTGTCAATTTGAAGCCATACACATCTCCTGAGAGCATACATAATCTTCAAATAAAGACAACCATAAGGTCATAATTACACCTAACATAATACAACTATCCTTTGTACAACCATAAATGCACCAATCCCCAACCCAAATACTATTACATAGGTTAACAATACTTAAATGCTGATATGAAGTCAATAAATCTTATCTCACATAATAAAATAAAAAGGAAATAAAATGAAGATATTTTCTTAGTACAAGTGTATACATGCACAAACATGTTTTTAACAAAAAAAGGAGGAAATTCATGAAAATTACAGTGCTCATTTCTGCAGCTGGTCACGTTGTCATAGTTGGTATCGATGACTACCTTCTTCTACTACCCATTCTGTATTCCCTTTGCCTTCAGCAAGCACTTCAGCAGGTCATGGTTTTTTTCCTAGCAGAATGACCCAAACCTTCATTTCTGAAGGGTCTGGGCCATTTGTAGTCCTGCCTGGATTGGGCTATTGTAGTTTCCCATTGACCTTAATCACAGGGCATGGTAATACTAAGAGATGCCCTAATGTATCTCTTGTATTCCATGTGTACTCTTCCTCACTTCCATTGTGGAGTAGTAGACTGATTTCATCTTGATAGCCCGGGTCAATCACTCCAGCCAACACTGTAACTCCCTTCTTAGCCTGTTGACTTAAAGGTAAGAGGAGCCCAAAGTGTCCAGATGACAATCTTAACTTCCAGTTTAATGGAATCATTGTTGTGTCTCCTGGTGGCAGCATTCCTTCCTCTGGAACTACGAACACTAGGCCAGCAGAACATAATGTCATGAAGACAGGAAACAAAAATTTTGCTGGTGGATTACTAGGAGTGAAGGAGAGTGGTGCCACTTCCACTTCCACCTCTGATTCCTGGACCTGTGAATCCTGGCCAAGGGAGAAACAGTACTATATACTGGACACTGATTCAGAGTATACACGGCCTTCTGGAGAACTTTGCCCCAGCCCTGCAAAGTATTGTCACCTTTTTACCAGTTACCCTGGTAAAAGGCCGGAGGTCTCCTTGGGGAAGGATGGGAGAAAGATTAACAGCACAAATTGTAGGTAGTGTAGTGGGGTCCTTCCTCAAAGGACTCAGCTTCCCTTTCATTCAAGGGGTTCTGGGTCTGTAAACTGGCTCAAGTCTGGAAATTGATTGAGGGGCCATGAGTCTCTCTTTTTATACTTCAAATTAGTCTTTTGTCCATTCGACCTAGAAGTTTTCTCCTTATATAAATTAAGTAGGAATGGAGTAGGCTTCCTATCAATTTTACTTCTAGGAACACTGTGATTAATTAGCCAATGCCAGAGTTCTACATGAGTCAGGCTATTCTGATTGCCGCTTTGCCTCTGTTGTCCATTACGATAGCTAGGCTCACCTTGTCTTTGATGGTTGAGTGCTGCCACCTGGCCTCTGCCACTGCCCGCCCCCCACCCACCCCACCCCAGAATCCAAATATTTTCATTATATTTAAATTTGGTAATTGAGTGACTGTGATTCCCACTGTTCAATCTTACATACAGAGAAGAGCAATTACAGGGCTCTTCAAAGATGCAAGTGCTGCCCTCACAAATCTATTTCACAAGGCATTGGTCAGGGGCATATCTTCTGGACCCTCCCAGCTGGGATGAGTAGGTCTAAAGTGACTTATCCACTCCACCATCCCAATTTCCCTAAGCCTTTGAATCCCCTCCTCTACATTAAACCAAGCAAGATCAGGCATTTCCAGCTCGCTCACAGTGGGCCATCTTTTAATCCATATTTCAGCTAACCAAGCAAGCAAACTATTAGAACCTTTTTTAACTCCCTGAGCTGCAACATTAAATGCAGAGTCCCTACTTGGTAGACCCAAATCAATAAGTTCAGCCTGATCCAACTCTATGTCCTTCCACCATTATCCCACACCCTTAATATCCATTTCCGTGCCTGTTGTCCAGATTTCTATTTATATAAATTTGAAAACTCAAGCAGTTCTTTTTGAGTGTAGTATACCTCCTCATGGGTCACACTCTCAACCTCACCTATAGGGGCCCACCAGGACTTTAGTCTAGTTATATGTCTAGAAGCAAACAGGGGTGTTGGGGGTGGCTCATGAAGAGAATTAACATTATCTTGCCTGGCAACTGCCTCAGGGGAGGCCATCACTGTTGCCTCAGGCAGTGCAGGGTTTATCTCCTCAGACAAAGGTGGAAAGGCTGATGGCAGCCTGGGTTGGGGAGGGAATGTTGCCACTACTGGGGATGGGGACGCTGTTTTTTCTGGCAAAAAGATTTCATCAGAGTTTACAAACTCAGTGTCCCCAGCTTCATCAGGGTCCTCCCACACATCCCCATTCCAACTTGCAGGGTCCCATCTTTTTCCAATCAATGCCCTCATTTTGACAGTAGACTCCCGGCAAGGTTGTGCGTCCACCTTTTATTGCAGGTCAGCCACTCGCATGATAAGAGCTTGTGTCTGATTTTCCACAATTTCAGCTCCTTCTCTACAGGAGATAAGACTCTGACTCAGGGCGATCTTAGCACATTTGAGGCTCAGTATCTGCTTCTGAAGCCAGGAGACAGAATCCCTGATTTCATCATTTTCTTTTGTCACTTTGTCCACTGAACATAGGAGCAACAGCTGCATTATGTTCCCTGGTTCTCCAAATATGATCAAAAGTATTATGTATAGAGCCACTAAATTCCTTGCCTTTCGTGAGTAGTGAATCAGGAGTGTCAAATGCATTTATTTTGCATAACTCTCTAAACAGTTTATGCCAAGGACTATCAGTGTTCTCCATACTATTAGATGTAGAGTCCTTAGTATTTTTGGGTCTAATCATATTAAGCAGCCAACTCCAGAAACTCCAAAACCAACGAAAGAACTCCATCCTTAATATTCTGTTCCTCTAGAACCACTCCTGGTACCAAAATCTGTATTAATCAGGGTTCTCTAGAGGGACAGAACTAATAGGGTGTGTGTATGTGTGTGTGTGTGTGTGAATTTATTATCAACTCACATGATCACAAGGTCCCACAATAGGCTGTCTGAAAGCTGAGGAGCAAGGAAAGCCAGTCTCATTCCCAAAACTGAAGAACTTGGAGTTTCATGTTCAAGGGCAGGAAGTACCCAGCATGGGAGAATGATGCAGGCTGGCAGGCTAGGCCAGTATAGTCTTTTCTCATTTTTCTGCCGCTTTGTAGTCTAGCCATGCTGGCAGCTGATTAGATGGCACTCACCCAGAAAAAGGATGGGTCTGCTTTTCCCAGTCCACTGACTCAAATGTTAATCTCCTTTCACAACACCCTCACAGACATATACAGGATCAATATTTTGCATCCTTCAATCTAATCAAGTTGATTAGATTCAGTATTAACCATCACACAGCACAATATAAGACTTTCAGTAATGTAAGCAAATAAATCTTCTGTTTCATTTATCCAATTCACAGTGACTGTTATTTGCACCTAGAAAAATATTAATTTATGTATGTTCTAATTTTTTTATTAAGTTCTCTTCTCAAAAGTTTTTATATATATTTATGTTTGGAAAGAAAAGGCTATCATCAAAATAGATTTCTATGAATTTTTGATGGACAAACTTCACCCAGATTTTCTGACTATCCTTTAAGGGAAAAAAATGTACTTAATAACCTCCCCTCCCTGCAAACACAATAATTTATGATTTTATAGGGAAATGACCCCATCATACATACTGTGCTGATGTTATAAAATCTGGGTCATCTGGAAATTCATAATTCTGATTATTAATATATTTCAGTGACATTCTCTTCATCTATATCTATGTATTATCTGTCTATGATGTAAAGGTGGATTCAAATTGCCAGTGTTTCCTATATCATCAGTCTATATACTGATAAAATACATAATTATATACATAAAGTGTAGGATAATAAGAATTTATTAAAAATTGGGGGATTTAATACAAATATAGAACTATATAAAAGAAAATACACAATAAGAAAAGATATGTTTATGTGCATAAATAACTAAATGTTCATATGCATATTTATAAGCATGTGAAAGGAAAATATCTTGGGCCCCCAAAAATCACTAAGGAAAACTCAAGCTGGAAACTGCTTAGGGGAAACCTGGCTCCCATTCTATTCAAAGTTATCCTCTGCTCACTGAGATAGATGCATATCTGCTTGCCTCCTTTGCAAAGGTTAATCAGAAAAGCAAAAGAATGCAAATGTTTATGTCTCACCTATCTGTGACTTGGAAGTCCCCTCCCCGCTTTGACTCTTCCTGCCTTTGCTTCAAGTTGTCCCGCCTTTCCAGACTGAACCAATGTATTTCTTACATATATTGATTGATGTCTCATGTCTCCCTAAAATGTATAAAACCAAGCTGTGCCCCAACTACCTTGGGCACATGTCATCAGGACTTCCTGAGGCTGTGTCAAGGGCACGTCCTCGACCTTGGCAAAATAAACTTTCTAAATTAACTGAGACCTGTCTCAGATTTTCTGTGTTCACAAGCATATATAATCTTATATATTTATATATTCTCATTTGCACAGGCTTTTCTTAATATCTTGATTCTTTTAATCCCACCTTTTCCTTGAATGTGATCCCTTTGTTTTCCTAAATATGACAGCTGTTGCTTAAGTAATTTTTGTTTGTATTTGTTGGAGTCTGGGTCACCAAATATTTAATGTTGGTTATTAAAAACATTTATCTGATCTATCTTATCTATCTATCTATCAATCAATGAATCATCTATCTTTGCGGGAGCGGGCAGGAGAGAGAGATCCATAAAATGCTTTTTTGCTTTAAATTTGGACTTTGGAGCTTCCCTCTTACTCCTTTTTAAAATGCACTCTGTTTACTTCTGTATGTTCCTTTAAAGACTTTTCTGAAAGCACAACAACAAACCCTCACCGTCCTCCCACCCTCCCATCTTCTGTAGACACCAATGTCCATTATTCCACTCTGTATGTCCATGTGTACCTATTGTTAAACTCCCCCAAACGAATATATTTTTAATAAATGGATCTTGCAGAATCAGTCAACAGCTTGGTATTTGCTCTATCCCTTTTAAGTATTCATTTGATGTCACCTTGAAAGTTTCTAATTTTAGCTATCGACATCAAGATCCACGTAAAAGTCTTGCCTCACATCACAATGAAAATAACTCAACTAGGAAAAAAATTTCTTTTATGTGTATGTACAAAGCATTCATTAGTGTCAGAGGAAGCAACAATCCTGTGGACAGAATACGACTTCTAAAGAATCTCTCATCTATTTTAACAGATGTTTACTTATCAGATATAAAATTTAATGCATATTCCTCAGGAAAGAAAGGGTGTGAAAATTCTCTTCATTATTTACTATCAGTTGACTTGTTTTGATTCAGGTAATTGAAAATTCTGGGTTTCCTGTTTATCACTTCTAAGCATTTCTCTATTTTCCCTTCCATTTGTTCTGATTTTGTTTTTGTTGTTTATTTGCTTTCTTTTGTTTAGAATGAAGAAATAATTTAAGTATTTGAAATATTTTTGTAGTGTTAAGTAGCTAATCTGTGGTCCTGCTTTCATTTTCTCTTACTCCGGAAAGAAAACAAAATCTCTAAGGTCATCAGGTATAGAGCTTTTCCTTGCATACTGGTGATCTTTGTGCACCTCTCCTCAGTGAAATTGCTGATCAAGTGTCAGATTCCACTGGGATGGCTTAACAGCACATCTCGTCAGGTTTACAGCCCCCAATTTACTTGAATTGTCCTCGCTCAGGTGGCAGCAATCTAATGACAGTGACATCGGGAAGTGTTTCCTATTAGAGCAATGAGTTTAGATTCTTTAGTCCTCTCGGCCATACCATATACAAGTGATAACGAATAACCTGACAATTAAATAGACACCCTTTCTGAGTTGCTATATAAGCAGCAGGGTCATAGTCATATTACTTAATTATGAGAATACAAACTAATAGAAAGAAGCTGACATTTACTTCTAATGTGTGGAATCCAAAAGCATCTCCTTGGAATGGATTCCTTTATCTACTTATTTAGATTAAAGCCTGCCACTGTGAAATGAAGAAATACACTTCTTACATCCAACGTGCAACATGTTTCCTACCCACTTCCTAATACTACAGACATTAACTAATTATCCATTTCTTTACTTGTAACTAAAGATTGGTGGAGAAAGCACATAGTTTCATAGTTGTTTGTCCTTAGGAAATAGGAAGAAAATTTGTTCTTGCTTTTAATAATACTGTCCATATTTGCACTAATTTAATCCCCCTTCTGAATTAGTGTAACCAACCACTAGCAGATTGTGAGTGAAGAATGTTTTTAAACAATTTAATAATTCTAGAGTGGTAATTACTTACAGTTAAGGTCCAAATTAACTTTTCTAAGATATTTTATTATCTTGTTCAAATCGCTTACTGTTGCCCTGGTGGATGGTTGGATGATACAGAACTAGTAAATCATTTCTTACATATGCAATCTCTGTAAGATTTCTTCAGACTCTGTTTTTAACTTTACTCTTTATTAGAACGTTAAATCACAGACAGGGTAACTTAGTATGACAGCTGGGTTTTATATTTTAAAATATCATGCAATATATTGAATTGAAAAGTAAGAAGTTCTCTATTACCGTATTTTGACCTTAGGAAAACTAATTTACTTGCAAGAAGATGGTCAAATCTTATTTTTTCTCCATATCTCAAATTTTTCAAGCTCCTCACTTAAAGCATACATACCTAAAATAGACAGAAAATTCTAGTAATTTTCATGTAGCTTGGGTTTTTATAACTGTTTTGTTTCCTTTCTCATTCAACAAGGGTTTACGTAATAGTAGAAAAAATGGAATTGATAATATCCAGAAGGCATTGGGAATTTGCAAAGATAATTAAACTAATAACTACAATCAACAAACAGATAATAGCTTAGAAAAGCATTGAAAATGAAAATGTCATACAGATTTAAATGTCAGATTGTAGGAAGACCATGAAGGAAGGAAAAAAAGAACCATTATTGGGTACTCCACTGTTAGTCACTGAGCCAGGTCAGCTTGGTGTTTAAAAAAGTGTCTACTCCTATGACAAAGGTTATCTTATTCCCACTTTATAGCGGAGAAAACCGGTTCCAAAAGGTAAAATAACCAAATAAACAGTTTATAGGTGGTAGCATGAGGCCCGGGACTTATAGTATGTCTATCTGGCTTTATAATCCAAGCTCTCTATGCCATGATTCTGCAAAGAGCATTGTATATTGGAGGTTGGGTTCTATATCTCCACCTTCAGTTAAAGATAGGTGAAGATGTTAATTCTCTTGAAAGAAATTCAACAATATTTTATAGTAATATATGACAATAATATATTTACTCTTACTTTCAAAGAAACTCTCATTTTTTAACTTCAGATGCACAGGTTAGAATTTAAAGTCATCTCCATATTAAAGACAGATAATTTAGAGTTCGCACTCACATAATGTCCCATAATAATTTGAAGTTTCTGATTAAGTGAGCCTTGCCTTCTCTGAGTATCATCTATTTCTCTTTGTTCCCTAGATATCCATTTTGAAAGTCCTAATCCATCTACTTTCACTGTAATGTTCAATGTTTTAAATTCTTTGTTATCTATCCCAATGTAAAATATAATAGGATTACTAGAGTGAGGAATGATTTCTCATTATTTGTGAATTATAATATTAAAATATTCCTAAATTTGGGAAATTAATATATAGGGTGCATATATATAATTTTCTATGAAAGTCATTCTAATATGGAATTCTGTGTTTAGTAAAAGTCCTGGTGTCTGTTCAAAATAAGGTGTTTCAATTCAGTTTAAGTAGTTCTAATAAGCATTAATGATTTAAAAAAAAAAAAAAGGTTGCAATGACCTGATAAGATAATGTGCAATTCTTGTTTGGTTTGTCCTCTTAACTTACTTATAAACTTCCTCTTTTTTTTTTTTTTTTTTGTTGCGGGGGTGTCTAGGAGTGGGTGGAGTCTCGCTCTGTAGCCCAAGCTGCAGTGCAGTGGCAAAATCCCAGCTCACAGGAATCTCCATCTCCTGGGTTCAAGCGATTCTGCTGACCCAGCCTACTAAGTAGCTGGGACTACAGGCGCCCGCCACACGCCCAGCTAATATTTGTATTTTTAGTAGAGACGGGTTTCGCCATGTTGGCTAGGCTGGTCTTGAACTCCTGAGCTCATGTGATCCACCTTTCTTGGCCTCTCAAAGTGTTGGGATTACAGGCGTGAGCCACTGCGCCTGGCCTAAACTTTCAATATTTAAAAAGAAAAGAAGATACAGTTTCAAATCAAAACCCTTGTTGTTGAAAATAAAATATTTCATCTAAAGGGAACAGGTTTCCAAAAATGATTTCTTTTTATTTGGGAAACAATAATTATATACTATGTTAACTATTATAAAAGATATGGACATAACAAACTAGATTTATTCAACTGTAATTATGTATACTGAAAATCTGATCAAACATGATTAGCCTTCAACTAGACCATCAGAGGACTTTTTCAATAAGTATAAAATTTTATTTAAAATATTGTTTTCCCTAACAGGCACCTAGATTTGACAAGTGCTAATTTTATTTTGTAATCATTTTTATTTGGCAATAATATACAATATATAAAATTTTGTCTAGGATGGCAAGTAAATAATTTTCTTCATAACTGAATTACAAAATTCCTTTCATATCAATCTTTGGTTGGTCTTGAAGAGTTTAGGGTACTTCATAAAAGTTAGGATGTAATGATATCAATAAACAATTTGAACTGTGAATCACTTGCAAAATAAATATATGCTATAATATATCAAATAAATAGTTGCATTGAGCAGGTTCTTTGTATCATAAAAATGTTTGCTCATTTGAAGGACAAATAGTTATCCTGTGTGAACAGAGTCTGTGTGTGTGTTGTATGAGGGTATTTGTGTGTGTTTGTCTGTGTGTATATCTATTAGACACATTTAATAGATCCTGTACCATTACTGCACATGTATGTAAAACCTATATAGGTGGTTAAAGTTCTTGTTTACCTGAGCACATTTACTTATTAGATACTTGCTTGAAAATTTTGAGCTCATCATTGCAGTACCTCTGATATTAAGTTGCACAAATAGCTTGTGTTTTTAGATTAATATTTTTTTTCCTCTGAGAGAGGGGTGCATAATAAACCCTTTAAAAATGCCAAATGTTAAAACACAAGATGAAGTTAAGTGAGCAATGAAGAAAATTGTTTATCAAATGGCATAATTATTTACTAATTATTCACTTTATGCTTTCAAAATACAGTACAGTGTTTGTGTTTATAATAGCTCTTTCATTTTTCATATGAAAGCATACCCATAAATATTTGTCTAAGTAAAGACCTGCTCTGTGTACAAATGATTGTTGAAACTGGGTGCTTGGAAAGAAGATCTTCAATGTTTTCACTGAGAAATAATGAAAACATATTTGATAAATAATTCATTTACACCTGCTGTGCATAATAATCACTCATGATGTTGGAGTTCTTTCTGAAATAGTTCTTCAAATAAGTTGTCCTTTGCACAGTGTTGTTTCCAGTGAGGAGACTTGAAAGTTTGAGATATTTCAATGAGCCTGTTGTCCTAGGAATTAGCACAATAAAATCAGTCCCCAAAGCTTTGTGTAAAAGATTTATCTTAAATGTGCAAATAGCTTGGTCAAGGTTTAAATAAAAAGTTTGTGAAACAGATAGCGTTATGCAAATCCTAAGTCATGTGCCACTTTTTTCTCCAAATATCTATAAATGTAGCAAATTAAACTTGTAGAAGTTTTAAAACAGGTGTGGAAAAAAACAAGTATTAGTAGTATTGTTTGTTCATGATTCCCAACATGTGGTCTTTGAAGAAGCATCAACTAGGAACTTGCTAGAACTGCAAATTCTCAGTCTCCAGCCCAGATCCACATATTACATACTCCAGGTTTAACAAATCCTCCAGAGAATTCTGATACTCAAGTTTGAGAACACCTAGTATGTTTTAAGAGGATACCATATTGAGGGCAAAGGTTTGTTTAATTTAAGAAGAATGTGCACTACAATTCTTCATAATAACCATGATCATAAAAAGGCATTGATAAAAGCCTATCAGCCTATAACATTTATTGTTGTAGTGGTTTTTAATAAATAAAATAATGACTCATACATGGGAAACAATTAGCTTTCCAGTTAAAAGCAAAGGGAGATAAACTTTAATAAAATTCCAACAAATTCAAATAAATTTGACATTTTATTTATTTATTTATTTATTTATTTATTTATTGAGACAGAGTCTTGCTCTGTCACCCAGGCTGGAGGGCAGTGGTGCAATCTCGGCTCACTGCAACCTCCGCCTCCTGGGTTCAAGTGATTCTCCTGCCTTAGCCTCCTGCGTAGCTGGGATTACAGGCACCCGCCACCACACCAGGCTAATTTTTGTATTTTTGTATTTTTAGTAGAGACTGGGTTTCTCCATGTTGGCCAGGCTGGTCTCGAATTCCTACCTCAGGTGATCCACCTACTTTGGCTTCCCAAAGTGCCGGGATTATAGGTGTGAGTCACTTCACTTTTAAAGAGGATTTTTTTTTCCTGATCATTGATGTTGGACAGGTACATGTTTGGGATCTCTGACTTTCTCAAACCATTTACTTAGTTGGAACTATTTCTTCCCATCTGAAAGTGCATTTCCATGTACTAATTTCACTGTTAAAATGACTTAGGACTGTCTTCTCTAATAATAGCTGGTATACAACAAATTTTGGAATGAATACATGAAAGAGGATGCCCTAACAATCATCAAGTTCTGGGATATTGTAGTAGAGACGAGACATTGTTAATATGAATCTAGTACTTACAGGAGCTATTGAGGTGTAAATATTGATTTGGTAGCTATTAGTAACAAATGGTAACTAAAATCATGAAGTGATTGAGACTCAGGGACAGTAGAGATAGAAAGTCAAAGACAAAAATTTAGACGTCCACAAATCAGCAAAATAGAAAAAAACTCAGAGGAGTAATTTGATATACAAAATTATAATGAGAATATTGAGTCATTGCATAAATTGTTTTCATTACTAGAAGAATGACATAAAGAAATAAGAAGCTGAGGAAAATAGAAAGGAGTCCCCCAAATTAAAGACAACATAAATAAGAATTTGAGAAAAGGAAGAGCAAAATGTTCAGTAAAAACTACATAACAATTGTCAAAGTAAATTACTTGTATCCAGGAGATTATTTTAGGATTGTATAAATGTAAAAGATAAAGAAAAAACAAGTTTCATAGTCGAAGGAGAGTCTCATAGGTAGAGAAGTGGAGCCTGAATTTAAAGATGATGTAATATATAAAAGGCTGATAGAGAGTTGACCTCATTAGATAAATTTTACCATTAAGTCCAATATGCTTTCTAATAGTCTTATTGGAGTTAATGGCCAAATATTTTAAATATGCTTGTTGTATAAAGTTTAAATATACTCCATGCTAACAGCAGAAACTTGAACTAGATATTCTGCAAAGAAAATTTTTTGAAGGTTTTGAACAATAGTAGGAAACAGATGATTTTATTTGACCTTAAAAACTTTTTTCTTTTGCTAACAGTGTTTTTATCATATTGCTAACAATCAGTGAAACTTTCCCAATTAGTTTAGAAAGTAATTTAATTACCACCACCCCACCCATAGCACTCAGTTAAGAATCAAATAACTCTTGGTCACTGAGGTCAATTACTCCCACATCTGAAAGCTCAGTTTGCTGCTACAAAATAAAGCATTAGTGATAGCCACTTGGAGAGACCAGATAGGAGATAGAGGGATGCAACTGTGTAAGGACATCTCCTGACATAATGTAAACCTTAAACCTGCCTTCACAAACTTAGTTTTTCTCTCTATTTTCTACCTTTTTTTTAGTTAGTTCTCTCCAGAGCCGCAGTGCTGAGAGAGCTGCTGCTGTGAATGTTTGTTTCTGCAGAATTGCACATCTGATTGACATCCCTTGATTCTAGTAATTTGCCTGGGTACACTGTGTTGACACTCATGGTGGTAACCTCCACCAGAGCTGTGGAATCTTAGTAGGCACAGTTTTATTGACTCATTCCCACCCCAGCACTCTATTAGGTGTTTCTGTAAAAAGGAGCTGAACTAAATTTTCTTTAACCCTTTTTGTTGTGAAATATCTCATATATAATAGTAAACAAAAGTATATAGGCAGCACAATTCATCATGAATACCTGTGTAATCACCACCTAGATTAAGAAATAGATCATGGCTAGCCACCTAGAAATCCAGTCCTTATGTTCCCTCCCACTAATTACTTATTGCCAATTTCTTAAAAAAAAATCAACTTCATAGTGTCACTATCTCAGTTTGCATTACATGTTTTATTAATTAACCAAAAAATCCTAAAAACTGTTCTGTTTATTTTTTGAAATATTAATCAATGTTATTATACAGTATGTAGTTTATTGTATCTGGTATCATTCACTCCATGTGTTATATTTGTAAGATTCAGGCATATGGTTCATTGTAGCTATATTTCTTTCATTTTCATTGATGTATAGCATTCCATTATTTGCATATATAATAACTCAATTTATCCAAATAGCCCACATAATGCTGCTTTAAATATTTTTGTATGTGTCTTGGAACATATTCCTCTTGATTGTATGCCTAGGAGAATAATTGCAGGGATATGGAGTATATGCCTACATTTATATTTACAAGATAGGATCAAACTCTTCCCAAAGTAACTCCCTTTGCCACAGTGTAAGAGAACTCACAGTGTTCTATGGCTTTGTCAACACTTAAGAGTTGTCAGCCCTATTAATTCTTACGATCCTGGTGGTACATCGTGATGTTTCATCATGTTGTAATTTTCACTTCCCTAAATACCAATAAGGTTTATAAAGTTTTCTCACTTTTGTTTGATATGTGTATCTTATTAAAGCCTCTTGCCAATTCATCTCTTGAGTTGTTTTGTCTTTTTCTTATTGATTAGTAATTCTTTATATATTCCAGATGCACATCCTTTATCTACTGATGCCTTGAAAATATATTCTCTCACTCTGTGAATTGCTTTTTCATTCTCTTAATAACATCTTTGGGAAGTGAGTTCTTAAATTTAACCTTGTCCAGTTTACCAACATTTTCCTTTGTGGTTAATGCTTTGTGTGTCCTATTTAAGAAATACTGCCCTACTCCATTTTAAAGATATTCTCCCAAAGTTATATTGTAGAAAATTTGCATTTCTCATCCAAATATATAATTCCTTGGAATTCATTTTTAATATATAATGTGTGCTAGTGATCAAGTCACACTATTTTCAATATCAATAATCAATTGTTTCAGTATCACCTGTTAAAGATACTATCGTTTCCTATTCTTCCATATTGCCACTTAGCCCAGATATCTGATAGAGGAAGTCCATTCCCTTTGCTCTTCAAGGCAGAATATGATGCTTGTTATTATTAGCATTTTGCATTTTCATACTATTTTAATGTCATCCCATCATGTTCCACAAAAACTCCCATGGGGATTTTGATGGGAATTGCAGTTAATCTAAAGACAAGTTTAGGGAGAGTTAGAATCTACATTACAGTGTGTCTTTCACTCCATAAACATGACATGCATATTCACATTCTTCGATTTTCTTTAATTTCTCCCAATAAATATTTTTTGTACTTTCTTGCAGGAGGTATTACGTATTGTCTACTGGGTATATTATTTGCTAAATTTTCGATGCCATTTTATTATAAATGACATGGTTTTAAAATTTAATATTCTGTTTGTTGTAGCTATAAAGAAATGTGATTTTTGTACTTTGACTTGCCTCCAGAAACCTTACTAAAATACTTTATTAATTTTAATTTATTATGTGTACTTTTTACTTCTATCTATATATTATTATATGTGAATAATAAGAATGTTATTACTTCCTCTGTGATCTACATTAGTTGTCTTTCTTTTTGTTGTTGTTTACTGCAGTGTGAGGGACTCCAATAAAAAGAAGAGTGATGATGGCAGCCACTTAGGGCTCCATTTCAAGTAGAAGTCTTCAAAACTGTCAAGATACGGCATTATTTTTTCCATAGGACTTTTCTTGTGATACATACATTTATGAGACTAAGTTCTTTCCTTTTTGTTTTCTAAGATTACTTAAATCATGAAATATTGAATGTGATCAAACCTTCTTTTGCCATGCTTTTCAGAATGATGACATAATTTTTCTTTTATTCTTAGTAATATGCCATGTTAAATTTATTTTTCAATGTTAAACTAACCTTACGTTCCTGGATAAAAATAACCTCAGTATGGTGCGTTACCTCTTTTAAGTACATTATTGAATTAACTTTGCTAATATTCGTATTAGGATTTTGAACTCTATATTCTTCTTTAAGATCAATGTGTGAAAATATCCTTTCTTGAAATGTCTTATCCTCAAAATATAAATGGGAAAGCATTGTGCTTTCATTTTACTTTATTTTATTTTTGCAATTTTATATATGTTGGTGTAAGACAATTCTGCCTTGCTTAAATCCTTGGAGGTATTCACCAATGATCACATCTAGACCTAGATTTTTGTTTTGTATTGTTTTGTGATCTTTTAATTTTTAAAAATTCCTTCATAGAAAAGCTATTAACTGGAGATTAAATTTTGTTAATATTCATAGGTTTATTCAAATTTTTATTTTTCTTGTGTTGATTATATTTTCATGTTATGATTTTCAAAATTGTTCATTATATCCTCATATATTTTTAATGTATCTACGGATTTTTAGAGTTGTTAATTTTTATTCTTGATATTAGCTATTCTATACTCTCTCTCTTCCTCTCTCTTTCCCTCTTTTAAGCTCAGAATTTGTTAGCTTTATTGATTTCTTGACTGTTCTTTATTTTTTTCTATTTTAGTAATTCTGTTTTCATCTTATTTTAATTCTTTTTCTTTTTTTAGTTTAAATTGCTGTTCTAGTACTTCCTAATAAGGATGTTTGGTTCACTGATACTCACTTTTTCTTTTCAAATATATGCCAAAAATTTTCTCTACAAAAATATTTTTCTCCTTCCCATAAGTTTTGATACATCATTTTTATTAACATGCAGATAAAAACATTGTGATGGTTAGTTTTATGTGTCAACTTGACGGGCTAAGGTTTGATCAGATTGCTGGTAAAACATTATTTCTGGGTGTGTCTTTGAGAATATTTCTGGAAGAGATTACCATCCAGATTTGTAGACCAAGTAAAGAAGATCATTCTCATCAATCTATTAGATATAATAGATGAGAATTATCCACTTCATTAAGGGCCCAAATAGAACAAAGAAATGGAGGAAAGGAGAATTCACACTTTCTGTTTGAACTGAGATATCCATTTTATCCTGCCCTTAGGCATTAGAGCCCCTGTTTCTTAAGTTTCTGGAATGTCCTAACACTTACACTACAGGCTCCCCTGGTTCTCAAGTATTTGGACTTAGACTTTGAACTACAGTACACTACTGGCTTTCCTGGTTCTCCAACCTGCACACAGCAGATTCCAGGACTTCTCAGTCTCTATAGTTCATGAGCCAGTTTCATGCAGATAGATAGATTCTATCAATCCTACTGACTCTGTTTCTCTGGAGAACTATGACTAATACAAACATGTTATATTTAATATTAATTATTTTACCTTCGACCTCTGAATTGATTAAAAGTACTTTCTTCAACTGCAAAACATATTGGAGCTTTCTACTTAATTTTATAATGTCTATCAGTCTTAAAAATCTTATTTATAGTTAAAGTACTTTCTCTGTATGATTTCAAGGTCTTTTGGTCCTAATGGAAACTTGCTTAATGACACAGCATTTATACACATTCTGTAAATGTTTGTGTGCTCAGGAAAAAATTGTTTTTTCCTTTATGTTTTGGGTGTAATTTTCTACACAGCATATCCTTTAGGTCAAATTTGTCAATTATGTTTTTCAAATATTTTATATCTTTTTCTGATTTTTACCTGCTTTTTCTATCAGTTTCTCTGAGGGAGGTGTGATAAAATTTCTCATTTTATTTGTAGATTTGTTTTTGCTCCTTATAGTCTTGTGAATTTTTGCTTTATATTGTGACATCGTATTAAATCATTTATATAATATTAGCAATGTTAGATCTCCCCAATAAATTAAAACTGTGACGGAATGCTTCCTTTTATCTTTAGGGGTTTTTTTACATTAATTTCTAATATGCTTGCCATTAGTGTAGCACTGTGAATTTTTTTTTGTAAAGTTAGTATTTGTATTGCTTAGTGTTTTCTTTCTTTTTCTTTGATATGCCTGTTCTTATTGTTTACTGTCTTTATTGAGAAAAATTTATATGATGTTATAGTCCATTTGGGCTGCTATAACAAAAATTTATAGACTGAGAGGCTTATAAACAACAAACATTTCTTCTTTTTTGCAACTAAGCAAATAATATTTATTGTAAGATTCAATTTATCAAGTATAATATCACATTATTTTAAGGATGCTTTTAATCCAGTGTGGGGACAGATTTGGCTAGTCTCTAATTGTAAGACTGGAAGTCAGAATGAACTAGGCTGAGAATCAACTCTGGCATCCCTGAACTCTGTAACTTTTTAACCTTGGACAATTAATTTATTTGGATCTCTATTTCCTGAAAAAACTAATAGCCTCAAAGGGTGGTTGTTGGCCAGGTGTGGTGGTTCATGCCTGTAATCCCAGCACTTTGGAAGGCTGAGGCAGGCGGATCATGAGGTCAAGAGATCGAGACCATCCTGGCCAACATGGTGAAACCCCGTCTCTACTTAAAAAAAAAATAAAAATAGCTGGGCATGGTGGTGGGCACCTGTAATCCCAGCTACTTGGGACATGGAAGCAGGAGAATCGCTTAAACCCAGGAGGTGGAGGTTGCAGTGAGCCGAGATCACGCCACTGCATGCCAGCCTGGCCAGCCTGGGCAATAAGAACAAAACTCCATCTCAAAAAAAAAAGGTTGTTGTTATGAATAGTATATATAAACACCTGAGGTATAGTAGTAATCTCTTTTCATATGTCTCTAACAAACTTACTTCTCACAGGCCAGAGGCTGAGAAGTCCAAGATCATGGCACCATCAGACTCTGTATCTGGTAAGGGTTTGTTTCCTGATTCATGGATGTCTTTTCACTGGGTCCTCACATGATCCTATGGGCAAAGGATTTCTCTGGGTTCTCTTTTGTAAGGGCATTAATCCATTTTATGAGGCTCTACACACATGACCTAATTATCTTCCAAAGACTCATATATCTAATATTATCATCTTGGTCATTAGGATTTCAATATGTTAATATTAAGAACATAGTCATTTGGTCCACTGCATATAAAATATAATTCGCCAATTCAAATTATATATGTTTATGTTTTGACATGTTGTTGTGGATATCACTTGTTATTTTTTTCAATCTGAAAATTTTTGCCAATACATTTAATACATTTATATTTAACATACATATTGATATACTTGGCTTTAAATATACCATATTTTTCCATCTTCTTTAGTTATGCCATTGATTCTTTCTCTTTTCCTTTATTCTTGAGTTTTTTTTTTGCTTGAATGTTTTTATTATTCAGTGTTATCTTTTTTACTTCTAGAGTTATGCTCTTTTTATTTTTTAACTCAATTTACTGAACTGCTTATGGACTAAAGGTGTGCTAAACCCTGTAAGACATATTGTTTAATAAAATCAATATTCATCTAGATATCCCCCCATATTTACATTTATATTTCTTGTATTTTTTTCTTTTTGTAATTTCTTGGTTTTTTTGAAGATAATTTCTTGCTTTTTGGAAGATAATTTCCCTCATCCTAAAGAATACCTCTAGCATTTCTTTTATGGTGAATCTTTCAAAGATAAATTCTCTAATTTCTTATATTTCTGAAAACATCTTTATTTTGATTACATTTTTAAATTATAGTTTTGTGGAGCACAAAATTACAGGTTAATATTTCTATCCTTTCACTATTTAAAAATGTCACTCTATTATTTTTTGGTTTCCATCATTTCCATTAAAAACCCACTTGGTAATCTTATTGTTTTTTGAAAAATGGCATGTTCTTAAATCTCCAATTGCTTCTAAATCTGGCTCTTTTTAACTTTATTTCAAGAGATCTTAGGTACAAAACTGAGTTTCAATTATTTTTAGCATCGGATTTATAGTGCCCTTGATTCTGTGACTTGATGTCTTCTTCCAGTTTTGTCAAGTTCTCAGTCATATTTTCTTCAGAAATTGCTTCGTCTCTATTTTCTATCTTATTTTCCTCAGATTCCAACTATAGAGAATTAGACCCTTTTGCTGTATCACCTTTGTCTCATAGCATAATTCTGTAATTTTCATTCTTTGACTTTCTCTGCTTTATTCTATGTATTTATTTTCAATCTATTTCTTATTTGATTAATGCTCTTTTAAACTGTGACTGTGTTAAAACTATCAATTGGTTCTTAATTTTAATTACTCATCTCTAATATTTCCATTTGTTATTTTAACATTTCCAGTCATATGCTAATACTCAATCTTTGCTTTAATTGTTTGACAGAGCGAGCATTATTATTTCACAATCTGTGCTTTATCACATATCATTTGGAACTAAGTGGGCCTTTCTACCTTTGATTGTTTTTACTGATTTTCCTCATGTTGTATTCTCTATTCCTATACCTGATTATTTTTATTGGGTGACAGATTTTTTTTTTTAATTTTGTAGAAATTATTTGACCCTTTCTTTAGATGATAAGATCTTAGTCTAAAACCGTTAATGGTTGCTTCTTCTAGGTAACGGGCACTGGTGATCCAGGATTTCCTCAATCCAATTGTAGCTATTGAGAAAATACAAAAGTAAACTGTAATTCCTGCAGGGTACTACTTAGTTTATCCTCACTCCTATGATCCCACTCTGAGCCCCTATTACTCCTTCCTTATCCCCAGGAGACTGTCAGAACTGCTCAAACTACTTGCCAACCCATTAAAGAACTGAACACACCCACAGGGGAAAGTATTTTGCCATGAATCCTCCCCTTGATAACTGCTTGTTAATGCTGTTGCTTCCACTAACATTGCTCAAGTCTAATATTTCTAGTTGCTCTCAGCAGGAAAGCTTGATTTGAATTATCTACTGCACTATTACTGTGCATTACTCCCCTGCATTTAAAAAAAAATTTTAGTTATGACACTGGCATAGCTCCAAATAGAACCATAAGGCAGGCAATAAGAAAATGTAGGTGTTATAAAAACTGCAAAAAAAATGTTGGTGTGGAAAAAGAAAATTTCTCAGTTGGGACTATTATCTCCTTTTAAAACAAACTCCCCTTCTTCCAGCCAAAACATCTAAATAAAAAAACATAAATAAGATTTCTTGTGAACTCCAAATTTTTCATACTATTTTCTCTTGTTACATTTTTGAATTTAAAAATATAATGTGTACTTACTGTAATAAATTAAAAAATCTAAATTGCATGAGAAAAATCAGACGTACTCATTTATCAAAAAGTTTACATAAGAAATATAAATCTATAAACAACTAACTTTAAATACATTGCATAGAATATGTTTATATGTTTTTCTTTTTTCACGTTAAATTAGGATCAAGTGACTTTGTATTTTAATATTTGAGAGATGTTACTTTTTACTTGTGTTTCTAGACCAAAAGAGATGATGGGCATAATATGGGGAATCTAAACTGGGGATATAAAAGTAGAAAAGCGATCTTGAAAAGTAGTAGATGCCACACAGAGGAACGGGAAATAGGAGGAAAAACGAGCAAAGAAAAAAAATACAAAAGCATTTAGGAGTTAAAATATAAAATTCACACATATGTAATGACTATAAGGCCATGAGTTTTAAAAAATTGTTTAAAAAATATCAAAAGTTAGTGTCACGCATTTCCACTAAAAATAAGAACAGTTTGGGAACGTAAGATGGCATTTAACAATAATTTAAAAACAATTTCACCACTTGTTTGCCCTCTTATGTCACAGAGCATTCACTCTAAACATCTTAATTAATTCATGTGTATGCATACTTTGATCTATTGAGAGAGGATTTATGAAACCTGTTTATTTCTAAGTAAAGAATATTTTAATGATAGCATAGGTCTGTGAGAGTATTTGAAGTTCATGAATTCTACCAATGAAAGCAGATTAAAGACAAATAACTGTCACAATGGGAAGCCACAATTATTAGGAAAGAAAAAAAAATCACACGATATTCTAATTATTATTATTTATTCATTTATATTTTGCCATATAAGAGTCTGTCCTTTTTATTGGCTCCATCAAAGCCACTGTTAGCCCAATGAGAGAACAAGGGCAATCTCTCTCAGAATTACCTACAGTTCCCATTGAAAGTGAAGATTCATGGGAAGCCCATGAATACAAATAGCATGAAACCCAGAATTTCCCTTTACCACATATTCTCTGGAGGATTGGTTATACTAAATTGCTATAGTGAGGCCTAGGGACCCTCTCCATCACCAGTATAATCCACAAGCTAATTCTATACTGAAGAATGCTGGTGATTACTATTTGAAGCCCATGTTACAATAGCAAGACATCCAAAAATACTTTGCTTTAGACATTAGTCACATTCTTGGTGTTGTGATCAGCAGAGCATGAAGAACACAGAAATGGAGCCTTTTGTTTACTTTTAAAATTGGCTTCATTCTTGTCCTCTGAGGTTGAGGTTGAAGGAGCAAGTTTGTTTTTAGATGGATGGATGGACAGACAGATAGATAGATCACCAATTATTTCACTCTACTGAACTAATAGAATATAATGTGTCTCTTTTATTTTGAAAGGTGACATCACTTGACAGTTATATGAGATATGTTTACTTAATTTTGAATAATCTTTTAATATTCACTAATATATTCACTTATTGGAATAAATTTGATTTTGTTTATAAAACCAAAATTTACATTTTTAAAGGGTTTTTTTAAATGAATTCACTTATAAACCAGTCTCCTCTGCATTTTATAATTCTCCTATTATTCCTTGAATAATTTCTTCTTGAATGATATCTTATCATTCCATGCAACTCACACGCAGTGTCCATATCATTCATAGGCAGAGGTACATGAGGCCAAAAATAAAATTAAAGAGCTAAAGATGATAACTTTACAGCATAATTCAAGTGAAAAAGTATTAACACATAAGAGATTATGTTAACATTTTGGTTTTCTTAGATATCATCTTCTTTTTCTTTTTTTTTTTTTGAGATAGAATCTCACTCTGTTGCCCAGGCTGGAGTGCAGTGGTGCCATCTCGGCTCACTGCAAGCTCCGCCTCCCGGGTTCACGCCATTCTCCTGCCTCAGCCTCCCGAGTAGCTGGGACTACAGGCGCCCGCCACCACGCTCGGCTAACTTTTTTTTTTTTTTTTTTTTTTTGTATTTTTTTAGTACAGACGGGGTTTCACTGTGTTAGCCAGGATGGTCTCGATCTCCTGATCTCGTGATCCACCCGCCTTGGCCTCCCAAAGTGCTGGGATTACAGGCATGAGCCACCGCACCCGGCCAGATACCATCTTAAAATAAGTATAGTCTTGATGCAGTGGCTTAATCTACTCAACTCACTTATTTTCAGTATAGTACAGTGTTTAAGTCCTTGGAATCAGAAGTAAGACAAACATGAGTTGAATTATGGCTTTGCCAAGTAAACTAGGCAAATAGCCTACTTTCTGAGGAAACCTTAGAGTTCTCAGCTATAAAACTGGGATAAAACAGTACCTAATTTTTGGCCTGTCGCTGTGGCTCACGCCTGTAATCCCAGCACTTTGGGAGGCAGAGGCGGGCAGATCACCTGAGGTCAGGAGTTGGAGATCAGCCTGGCCAACATGGAGAAATCCTGTCTCTACTAAAAATTAGCCGGGCGTGGTGGCGGGCGCCTGTAGACCCCAGCAACTGGAGAGGCTGAGGCACAAGAATCACTTGAACCTGGGAGGCAGAGGTTGCAGTGAGCCGAGATCGTGCCACTGCACTCTACCCAGGGAGAAAGAGTGAGACTCTGTCTCAAAAAAAAAAAACCAAACCAAACCAAAACAACAACAAAAGAACCACACAGTACCTAATGTTCACATTATTCTGAGGCTCAGCAGAATCTTCATTCCATGAAGGCAAAAACTTTGCTGTTTCTTTCACTGTTAGATTCCAAACACCAAGAACATGATGTAGCAAATGGTAGGTATTCAACAAAGAATTATCAAGTGAATGAGAAAAAGAGTAAGTCAATAAGCAAGATGCTTAGTACAGTGTTTAGCATTAGTAAGAGCAAAATAAATGATAGCTATTATTACTGTTTATGTATTTCAAGGTACTTATAATCATATATTGCCTATTTAATACCACCATCGGTGCGTTTAGTCCCTTCATTTTTCTAACGGGTTCCAAATAGTTAACATAACAACAATACCTGGGTGTGAATATTTAGGCTTATGTAGAAAAATGTTATAAGAATTAATCTTTTTCAACTCATCTCTGACAAGATGCCCTTATAATTTACTTTGTAGGAACCCCGTATAATATGAGTTGGGAACTTTATTAAACTATTTGTATATTTCGAAGCTGTAAGGAAACTTCCAAGGCTATACTTAATATGCATAATGTTGCCATGGGAATAAATACAAAAATGAAACAAAGCAAGGCTTACTTCTTAGGCACATTATTTCATTGAACTTGTTTCATAACAAAATGCATAGATCTTTTTTAAAATGAAAAACTGTAATGATATCATCAGTCAAACTGGCCTTGAAAATTATTTTTTTATAAGAGTCACTGGCCAGTACAAATTCTGACTGGTCTCTAAAATTTATATGGGCTCTATGTACACTTTATATGTCTGATATTACCATATTAATCAGTGCAAGAAATATTTATTAGTTATCCATGGCATAAAAATATCTATGAAGAGAAAAGAAACAGAGGAATATATATATATAGGCTCTGCATATGAGAACCTTAAAGCATTAGAAAATTAGGAGACAAACATATATACCAATGAATCTAGTACTGTGGTTAGGAGGCTTACACTGGTGTCATATATTTTGAACTCAAACCTTGGGACTGACTGCCTCTTTTTAGTTGTTTGATTTTGCAAAATTTAAATCCTCTTATCCCAGTTTCTTTATCTATTAAGTGGATATGCAAATGAATTAGTAAAATAAAATAATGCAAGCAAGTTGCTTAGTATGTATCATATATATCTCAGCATAATATAAAAACTTGATAAAAGCCAATTTTTACTTTTGTATACATTCAAGGCAAATTACACCTATATGTATATATTCATGATATAGACAATGAAATTAATGGGAAGATCATCATAGAATGGGTTTAGCACATAAAGTCTTCTTAGAATATAACAGAGCATAAGTATATCCTCCAATAATATATAAATTCGGCAATTCCCACAAAATGCCCAGGAACAGCAAGGAAAAAAGAATGACAAAAAGGAAGAGATCAATGACATTTTGCCTGTGTGACAGCAATTCTCACAAGCTTTTGTCCATTGATAATGCTTATTTTATCACAATAAATAAATAAAATTAGTTTCAGAATGATATCTAAATATTAATTGTTATTTTTGGTGTTATGTGACTTAGTTTCTTGCAATCACCTTTGATTATATAGAATTAAATGTACGTAGGCTTAAGACTGAGATAAGCTAGTTCAATTTACGGTTTGTTTTACTTTCCATTTCAAATCTCACTTTAAAAGCCATTTGCATCAGTTTATTTCTTCTAAAAAATGTTCAAGCCATTTTAAATTAAATCATACTGCTTTTCATGTGATAAGTCAATTCCCTTCTGACCTGTGTGAGTGGTCATCTGACTGTTAAATAACAGCATTGGAAATGAATGTGGACAGCTTTATTTCTTGGTCTATAATCATTATTAAAGTATTTACTACTAAGTATAAAGATCAGGTTTCTAATATCATCATTCACCAATCTAAACTACATAACAATTTTCAATTTGTCATTATCACTTACCTAAAGAGCTCACATTTCTGTATACATTAACATTTTTTTCAGTGCTAAAACGGAAATATTTATAATGACTATTACCAAAGACTTCTTCCTTAGTTGTACTTTTTTTGTCTAATCTTTTCCTATCTTGACAGGATACATAAAATATATTTGGCTTCTAGTAGAGTAGTCTGAGTAAGGAAGACCATAAGAATATTTTGTGACTTTGCATGAAAAAAAATTTATCACAAGGAACATGAATTACTAAATATGAGGTAGGAGGTGGGACTTGACTCTGGAGGCAGGGTTTGGACACCAGAACAAACTGAGGTCTAGCTAAAACAGGGATATGTGAGAATAATATACATATTAATAAAAGAGGGACATGTGGTGCTAAAGACATGTGAGAATCAATATCTAATATATTTCTGAATGTAGTCCTCAGCTTTCCGTAAGACACACCCACCAGTGTGCCAGGTCAGCTTACCATTGCCATGGCAACACCTGAAAATTACCATCCCTTTCCATGGCAATGACCTGATGACCCAAAAGTTACCACCCTATTTCTAAAAATTTCTGCATAATCTGCCCCTTAATTTGCACGTAATTAGAAGTGGATGTAAATATGACTGCAGAATTGCCCCTAAGCTGCTCCTCTGGGCACACTGCCTATGGGGTAACCCTGGTTCACAAAGAGCAGTACCTTGCTGCTGCTGTACACTGCTGCTTTAGTAAAAGTTTCTGTCTAACACAACCAGCTCACCCTTAAAGTCTTTCCTGGGCAAAACCAAGAACCCTCCTGGGCTAATTCCCCAATTTGGGGAATCACCTCCCTTACATCAAATGGACAATATTCCCTTCAAATGCTAATCCTCCAATCTACTTCCTAGTAACATTGTCACATGCAATTTTAACTCTAACACTATAAAATATACCAGACTAGGCCAGAACCGATCAGACCCCCCTGACGTTGCATCGCCATCCTCATTCATTTATTAGTTCTCTATTGTTAAATGTGATATATTTCCAAGATACCAGTAGGCTTTAGTAAACTTTTTGCAAAAAAAGTTTTCTTTATGTTTTATAATGCTAAAATGCAGATACATTATTCCTTTGAGTCATTCAATTTATCTGCCTTCCCTCTTCTCAGAACTTAAATTTTGTATAATATACTTTAATGTATTAATGTATTTAGTTTTCACTAAGTTACCAAAAATATCCTATGTGTTTACTGTACTTGGGAAGGAGTGCAGTGTGGTGAAAGCACTCAAGCCTCAGCATCAGATAGACCCAGGTTCAATCATAAGTTCTGCTTCTCTTAAACTGTTTCAATGGAGGCATTTCACTTCTCTAAATCTCAGTTTTCTGTGCTGTGTATTAGGATAGATCAAAGCTCATTCTTAACATTATTACAAATGCCGAACAAACTCTAACCATGTGTATTTATTTGTTATGCAGGTCTCTTAAAGGTTTATTAAGAGAAACAAATGAGATAATGGCTACAGAGTGCACAAGAAAGTGCTCTCCCATGCCCTTTCTCAACCTGTAATGCTTTCCTACCACTCTTTGTTAATGAATTTAAGGAAAGGAAAGGGAATGAAGAGAAGATTCCATTGAGGATACTGTTCTTGATAAGACAGCATAGATTCCTATGGTGTTAAGTAGACCATAACTTAGAGATGGTAACAGGGATTAGAGTTAGAACAGCTATTGCAGAAATCTATGTGTAAAATAAAGATGTTCAGGGCTTGGACCACGTTTATGGAAATCAAAGTGGAAAGATAAGGTTCTAAGAGTGATTTCTAGTATAAAATGAATAAAACTGGTGATTGGATATATTTAGCTTATATTTTAAAACAATATAAGTATGAGGTGCATAAGAATAAGCAAAGATAGGCCGGACGCAGTGGCTCACGCCTGTAATCCCAGCAGGGATAAAATGCAGACACATTATTCCTTTGGGTCATTCAATTTATCTGCCTTCCCTCTTCTCAGAACTTAAATTTTGTATAATATACTTTAATGTATTAATGTATTTAGTTTTCACTAAGTTACCAAAAATATCCTATGTGTTTACTGTACTTGGGAAGGAGTGCAGTGGGGTGAAAGCACTCAAGCCTCAGCATCAGATAGACCCAGGCTCAATCACAAGTTCTGCTTCTCTTAAACTGTTTCAATGGAGGCATTTCACTTATCTAAATCTCAGTTTTCTCTGCTGAGTATTAGGATAGATCAAAGCTCATTCTTAACATTATTACAAATGCCAAACAAACTCTAACCATGATCCACCAACGCAGGTGGATCACAAAGTCAAGAGATTGAGACCATCCTGGCCAACACGGTGAAACCCTGTCTCTACTAAAAATACAAAAATTAGCTAGGTGTGGTGGCACATGCCTGTAGCCCCAGCTACTTGGGAGGCTGAGGCAGGAGAATTGCTTGAACCCAGGAAATGGAGGTTGCAGTGAGCTGAGATCGCGCCACTGCACTCCAGCCTGGCGACAGAGCAAGACTCCATCTCAAAAAAAAAAAAAAAAAGGTAATGACCAACTAAGAAATATTGTCTGTCTTCAATATACACTGTTTTCAACCCTGGGGAACATGTGTGTAGTGTGTGTGTGTGTGTGTGTGTGTGTGTGTGTGTGGTGATGATAGAGAGAAAGGAACATGCCAAATGTACAAATTTGTACATTGAATTTAAAGCTTTAGGAAAGACAGGAGAAGAGAACCCCTTTTGTTGTTGAATCCATATGATTGTCAACAGTAAAAATTTATTTGGTACCTATTACATGCCAGGCACTGACAAACACTGGATATCCAATAGCAAATGAGATAAAATATATGCCTACCTTTATTGTTCTTATATAACACAAAGAAGAGGCAAATGGGGAAGATAAGCCAATAAACAATATAAACGTAAGTATTGATAAAATATGGATATATCCATAGACTGAATTTGATAGCAAAGAATACAGTCTGTGTCTATTGCAAATGACCCATATTTCACCACATATAAATTGATGTTTAACAGCTGTTTACAACAGTGATTATCAAATTTTTTCTGAAACTCAGAAAAATGACTGGATAACTTCACATGACAACTGTGCTGCATGCATGTGCATGCACGATGATAGTATTATCATCACCATTATTATTAATAATAATATTGGTCATAGTAATGGTAGTTGGAACAACACTTTTAAATCCTTTTAGGGTTTAAAGAATAAGAGGTAACATGCATGGAACTCTTGTTAAATTCCAAATATGTCCTATGCACCATAACTTTATTACCTCATTTAATCCTCTGTTAGCCTCATATAGCTCTATGAGTTACGTAATGTTAATATTCTTTATATATTAGAAAGGAAGAAACTGAGGTTCAATTTCACAACTATCATTGTGACATTTCTGAGATAAATGTCTTGCTTTTCTTATTTTTTCCAGACTATGAACACTTAATATTATCCAGGGAAAGGAAAATCATTAAACATTTCAAATTGTGATTATATTTTGACATGGGTTAGCTGTGTCCCCGCCCAAAAAATCTCATCTTGAATTGTAGTTCCCATAATCCCCAAGTGTTGTGGGAGAGACCTGGTGGGAGGTAATTGGATCATGGGGGCAGTTGCCCCCATGCTGTTCTCGTGGTAGTGAATAAGTTCTTATAAGATCTGATGGTTTTATAAGGGGTTTTTCCCCCTTTGCTCAGCACTCATTCTCTCTCCTGATGTCCTGTGAAGAGATGCCTTCTGCTATGATTGTAAGTTTCCTGAGGCCTCCCCAGCCCTGTGGAACTGTGAGTTAATTAAACCATTTTCCTTAATAAATTACCTAGTCTCAGATATTTCTTCATAGCAGTGTGAGAACAGACTAATACAGTAAATTTGTACTGGTAGAGTGAGGTGCTGCTATAATGATACCCAAAAATGTGGAAGTGACTTTGGAACTGGGTAACAGGCAGAGGTTGGAACACACTGGAGGGCTCAGAAGAAGACAGGAAAAGGTGGAAAAGTTTGGAACTTCCTAGAGACTTGCAGGGCTCAGAATACAGGAAGATGTTTGAAAGTTTGGAACTTCCTAGAGACTTGTTGAATGCCTTTGACCAAAATGCTGATAGTGATATGGACAATGAAGGCCAGGCTGAGGTAGTCTCAGACAGAGACCAGAAATTTGTTGGGAACTGGAATAAATGTGATCCATGCTATGCTTTAGCAAACAGACTGGCAGCATGTTGCCCCTGCCCTAGAGATCTGTGGAACTTCGAACTTAAGAGAGATTATTTGGTGTATCTGGCAGAAGAAATTTCTAAGCAGCAACGTGTTCCAGAGGTGGCAGAGCATAAAAGTTTGGAAAATTTGCAGCCTTGATGATGTGGTAGAAAATAAAAACCCATTTTCTGAGGAGAAATTCAAGCCAGCTGCAGAAATTTGCATAGGTAATGAGGAGTCAAATGTTAATCTCCAAGAAAATGGGGAAAATATCTCCTGAGCATGTCACAGACCTTCACGGCAGCCCCTCCCATCACAGGCCCGGGGGCCTAGGAGGAAAAAATGGTTCTGTGGGCCAGGTCCAGGGACTTTCATCCTAGCCACTCTAGCTACAGCCGTGGCTAAAAGGGGCCAAGGTACACCTCGGGCCATTTCTCCTGAGAGTGTAAGCCCCAAACCTTGGCAGCTCTCACATGGCATTGGGCCTGTGAGTACACCAAAGTCAAGAATTGAGGTTTGAGAACATCTGCCTAGATTTCAGAGTATGTATGGAAACTCTTGGATGTCTAGGCAGAAGTTTGCTGCAAGGGCAGAGCCCTCATGGAGAACCTCTGCTATGGCAGTGCAGAAGGGAAATGTGGTGTTGGAGCCTCCACACAGAGTCCCCATTGGGGCACTGCCTACTGAAACTGTGAGGAAAAGGCCACCATCCTCCAGACCCCAGAATGGTAGATCTACCGACAGCGTGCACCATGTGCATGGAAAAGCAGCAGATACTCAACGCCACCATGGAAGCCGCTGGGCCAGAGGGCCGTACTTTGCAAAGCCACAGGGACATAGCTGCCAAAGGCTATGAGAGCCCACTCCTTGCATCAGCATCTCCCGGACATGAGACATAGAGTCAAAGGAGATCATTTTGGAGCTTTAAGATTTAATGACTGGCTGGGCATGGTGGCTCATGCCTGCAATCCCAGCACTTTGGGAGGCTGAGGCAGGCAGATCACCTGAGGTCAGGAGTTTAAGATCAGCCCAGCCAACATGGAGAAACCCCATCTCTACTAAAAATACAATAATTAGCTGGGCGTGATGGTGCATACCTGTACTCTCAGCTACTCAGGAAGCTGAGGCAGGAGAATCACTTGAACCAGGGAGGTGGAGGTTGCACTGAACTGAGACCGTGTCACTGCACTCAAGCCTTGGTGGCAGAGCAAGTCTCTGTCTCAAGAAAAAAAAAAGTGATTAATGACAGTCCTGTTGGATTTTGGACTTGCATGGGGCTGGCAGCCCCTTTGTTTTGGCCAATTTCTCCCTTTCAGAACAGTAGCATTTACTCAGTGCCTGTATCCCCATTGTATCTAGGAAAGAACTAACTTGCTTTTGATTTTAAAGGCTCATAGATGGAAGGGACTTGCCTTTTCTCAGATGAGAGTTGGACTTGGAATTTTGGGTTAATGCTTGAATGAGCTGAAACTTTGGGGGACAGTTGGAAAGGCATGATTGTGTTTTGAAATGTGAGGACATGAGATTTGGGAGGGGCCAGGGGCAGACTGATATGGATTGACTGTGTCCCCACCCAAATCTCATCTTGAATTGTAGTTGCATAATTTTCACGTGTCATGGGAAAAACCCAGTGGAAAGTAATTGAATCCTGGGGGAAGTTACCCTTATGCTGTTCTCATGATATTGAGTTCTAGACAAATTTGATGGTTTTATAAGGAACTTTCCCCCCTTTGCTCAGCACTTCTCCTTCCTGCCCCCACGTGAAGAGGGATGTGTGTGCTTCCCCTTTGCCATGATTGTAAGTTTCCTGAGGCCTTCCCAGCCCTGCAGAACTGTGAGTCAATTAAACCTCTTTTCTTTATTAATTACCCAGTCTCAGGCAGTTCTTTATAGCAAAGTGAGAACAGACTAGTACATATTTCAAACCCATATTAGTTATTTTATAACACAATTAGACAGATTATTCAACCCATGTGGGAAAAGATGGTGTCTTTTCCTCTTTAGTTCCATTTAATAGCTAGCATAATCCCTGACACACACGGGTACTTACAGTGCTTATTTTTCACTTTTGGCTCTAATAGCATTTCTATTAACCTTCACCCATTTTTTATGATCACACCTCTCTTTTGGAAATTTCTAATCCTGTACAGGCTTAGTGGGAGGTAGTTTAATTCTTACCATTGAAGAAACCAACAAAATAAGATTATCCTTTTTCTCAAGCTCATGGAGGCAACATACACATACCTCAAGTTCAGTCAGACCAATGCCCCTGTGAGAAATCTTGACAGAGTAACATAATCTTGGGAGTGAAAACTTGACAGCATGACCTAAGGACCTCAGGACATGAGGCCACATTCACTGTAGCAACAGATGTAGCTTCTGGAGGACTAGCCTTTCTAGAGTGTGAATTTTATGTGCTTCTTGCTGCATTTGCTCATAATCTCTCAACTAGGCTCCATCTTCAGGTATGAGGATAAGTCAATCAAATTAAATTTGGTTGGACCCACTATGAATCATAATTTTATTACACCAGAAAAGAGACATGGATTAACTGATATCATGGAAGGGTTGCAGAATTTGCCACTTTGGCACAAAATTATTTCAAGTAAAATGTACTTGGAAAAACAGCAAGTACAAGAAGGGCACTCAGACTTCCCTTTTTTTCTTCCTGAAATCAGGCAATTAAAACCCACATAGAGAAGGTGTTATCCATATGCCAGGAGGAAAGTAAGATTCTTATTACCAGGGACAAGGAATTGAGGCTGAGAAAAGTCTGTACAAACAAGCCTTGGAAACTAACCCTCATCTTCCTAGTCAGGTCTCTATGATTAACTACGTGTATTAACTTTACACGAACCCAAGCCCTCTTGGCCTTGTTTCATTTTCACAATCTGCTAGTCTCTGTTCAGCTCATTATGTAAAGGTTCAACTTTTAACTCCTTTTTGAGTCTTCATTTTCTTGTGAGAGCTCCTGTGTCATGTAAAACTCCTGTTACAGACATGTGTATGCTTTTCTCCTGGTATTCTGTCTCATGACATTTTAATTCACAGACCCAGCTGAAAATTCTAAGAGGATAGAAGTTAATCTTGGCCCTCTGCCCCCGACAATACCATCATAGATGCATGCTTCAAATGGTTATACATTGTATCCAATTTCCATTCACATTCAAAATAAGGACTGTTTTATGGCTTAAGGACAATCTTCCTCTTAACATTTAGGAGATAACTACTATATTTTATTTCCAAGTACCGTTGTTGGTGGTATTTGATTATCACACACTTATTTTGGGTTATGGGAACAAAGAGACATCAGCAGAAGGTATTCTTAAAAATGTAGCCTGTGCACATTTGAGACATGATATTTATTTTATATGAATATACCTAACGTTATCATTCTTCTTTGGTATGCACTTAGCTTGCAAATATCAGAGCAATGAAGTTAAGCTATAACCCAAAAAGAATGATATCCGTCATCAACTTTCTCAACTTCTGTATTTGGATACATTATATATTAATATATTAAGTTGCCTTCTAGTAATTTACTGTTACTATTCTATAGCTCTTTCAATGCATTCATTTTACTAATTTTGACTACAGTTTGGTTATGCTTTAATCTGGTTTTCACATACTGTTTCAAAATTTTTGCATTTGAATTCAGATTAGACAAGTGCTAAAGATATGTGAGAATCAATATCTAATATATTTCTGAATGTAGTCCTCAGCATTTTTATCTTGAATTAAAACAACTGCAAGTGCTCACACTACCACCTTTAATCAAGTGTAACCATAAACTACAAAGAATTTAAAATGAAATGAGTATAAGACATTTCACACTCCAAGCAGTCAGATGATAATAAGTTTCCACCTGTTAACATATTAATAACAGTGTTAAAGAGCACAATGTGCCGGAGGTATTACAAGTCTGTGCAATTTTACATGTGTCAAGAAATAGTTTGCTTGTTAGCAACTGGTTAGAGTATCAAAGCAAAGTGAATTCCATGGGGGAAACTGGTTGCATAATAAGGAAATGCGGAAATCTTCATTTCTGTAGTTATTTAAAATAACCTGTGAAAAGCACTGGATAATAGAGCAAGGACGATTGGCCTCTGAGGGTATTAGATGACCTACAGTAATGGATCATTCCCCTCTCTAATGTCTGTGATTAACATGTCATAATTTTGAAAGGTGCACTCAGGAAAAAGAGAGACAGTGAAGACTAATACAATAAGATAAGGCATCACACCAAGAAGGGACATCCAACACCAGTGATTTTGGTAATAGGAAGAGGCAGAGCGTATGTTGTTAAATGCTGTTTTAAAAGATTATTTCACTTTCTTCTTATAAGTGATTTTCTTTGTTAGATAAAATGAAAAGTATTTTAGCACTAGACTGAAAATCTGAAAATGAAAAAAATAAAGCAAGCCAAACATAACATGATATACTTTACTTAGAATTTTTAAAAGAAGATTAGAGCTTAATAAAGGAAAAGGCCAAAATGAAAGTTCAACAATATTCCTGTGTTGCTTTTTTATGGTTGAAAGTCAAAAACAAAACAAACATCCATGAAAAGGCCATCGATGGGTGCTAAGTTAATGTCTAAATTCTGTCTAGAATAAGCATTCCTCTTTGTTTATCTCTTTTTCTAAATATAATAAAATTAAGAAATTATATCTCCCAATATGTGTCTAGAAGGAGTTGAGTTTCACCAGCATTTAGTTGGAGGTGAACAGTAAATTTTGAATGAATTTTTTCTGAAACCAAGTAGAAAACTAAGCCCCTCCCCCACCATACACACCAAAGGCGGGGCGGGGGGGCGGGAAATTACCCAACGAAGAAAAAATGTCACGAGGGGAAGTTTAAAACTTAATTTTTAAAAAGTGTTATTTGAAAATCATGACAACTGTATTCAATATATTTTCAAACGTTTAGTTTTTCATAAGCTCCCAGCTTCACTCATTGCTTGACTGTATCATACTCTTTTTCCTTCAGTGAACCCTAAAAAGGAATCCAATACCAAATAGTCCTCAATTAATAATTGTTAATCTATTGGTTGATTACCCATTGATTATTCATTTGTGCAATTATTTATTTATAAATCATAGAAAAGATTGAATTTCTTGATGAATGAGTAATCATGCTAGTTATATGTTGTGGCAGTAATTTTAAAAAATATTTTATATTCCAGAATAATGTGGACGTTGTATAAAATAATGGTATAAGTAAAATTGCACAATAGTAAGGCAAATTAGCACAGTAAATAGTTAAGAAATTATTCTTGGCCGGGTGCAGTGGCTCATACCTGTAATCCCAGCACTTTGGGAGGCTGAGGTGGGCAGATCATGAAGTCTGGAGATCAAGACCCTCCTGGCCAACATGGTGAAACCCCATCCCTACTAAAAATACAAAAATCAGCTAGGCGTGGTGGCACGTTCCTGTAGTCCCAGCTACTCAGGAGGCTGAGGCAAGAGGATTGCTTGAACCCTGAAGGTGGAGGTTGCTGTGAGCCAAGACTGGACCACCGCACACCAGCCTGGTGACAGAGCGAAATTCCATCTCAAATAACTAACTAAATAAATAATTCTTAAAAGTAATCATGCCTCCTAAGACCAGAAAGATACCTTTAACCAGCCTCCTATTGTGAAGCAAGGCTGAACCTAAACTCTCCTGAACCACTATTAGTCAATCCCAGCAGCCCAAAGGGAAAAGTCTCACAGCAACCAGATAATCAAGGAAGCGCCAAAGCAGTCATTATACTAACCCCATGCAGGGAAGATCCATATAGGAGCATTTTGATTATTTATTTAGCATACCAGGTTTCACAATTTAGATTGAGAAGAACTAATAGAAGCATGCTGATAGCATGTCTGCTATAGAATAATGAAAATTTGTAGTTTGTGTTTCCTACTGAGCAAAAATGAGAAGTCTGTTCTTCAAGTAACTACAAATAGTTTATATAAAGCCTAGTGAAGAAAATGGACACAAACACACACAGAGACACACGTAATGTATGTATGTTAGCTAGGTTTATAAGGGCCACTCAATACCTGTAAAAATCTAAGAATAATTAAAGCTCAGTGTCCATAAAGAGGGCCATGCCTAAATTAATTATTTGAATCATGTGCCTTCTCAAATGGTTCCCTGCTGGGTACACTTGGGTACAAAACTGTTGGGAAGGAAAAACTGTCTCATATGCAAGTAAAAATGGGAAATTCTTCTTGCTTTTAAAATTATGCAAAGCTGTAGATTATCTCATTAAAGGCTCAACTAATTGAACATAAGTGGGTATACGAGCCTCTATTTGGAGCACACATGTTAACACTCTTTGCAAAAAGGTTTCCTCAAAAAACTGTTAGGAGCTCTATCTAATCAATTACAGAGTTGAGAATGCATTGGCTAAGGGTTAGGAAAATTAGTAGTTTGCCCTAGCTAAGAAAGGGAGAGATAGCTTATATTTGAATAAAACAAAAAATATGTTTCAAATATTTCTATGTATTTTTTTCTTTAAAGAGCCTGTGACTCACTCTGAAATAAGTCAAATATAAAACTCTTTAGCCTATACTAAAGTTTCCTTTAAGCCATTATTTCTCATAGAAAGATTGGGAAAATATATTTGGATGTCATTTACTTTTTGCTTTATTATATCAAGCTGAAAAACTAATGTCAAAAGATTCCATAGGACATACATTAGAAATATCATTCAAACCATTTGAAACTTTTTTAAAAAATGATTCAAATTGATCTTTCTCCCAAGAATGTTTTCCCAGATGAACAGCCACTAGCAAACATAATTTTAAACAACTGGAGCATTTATAGTTATTGCAAACATATTTTTCCTAAACCAGAGTAATGGCCTGTAACTGTTATCTGTGATTCATTCTCTGTACAAAACCTATGAACATGTGAAATATCACTCAGATCATATGATTCCCTTCCCATTATATAGAGTCTACAATTCAAACTTGTTCCCATATCACAAGAGTTCTTTGCAGACTAGTCCTTGTCTACTTCCTACATCTTGTATCCTAGCATTCTCCTTCTTGCTCTTTAGGATTCAATAACATTGGCCTTATAATTTGTTCTCAGAAATGCCAGAATTAGTCTTACTTTATGATTTTTGCACTCACCATTCCCTCTGCCTGGAAAGCTTTCTCTAGACCTTGATATGGATATAGCTTCTTTCAATACAGGTTTCAGCTCACATAATTGTCACATCTGAAAGGGGACTTAACTATAATATCTAAAGAAGCATACCTACAGGCATTGTCAGTGCAAGTCATTTTTATCATAGAGCTTACCATAGTCCAAAGTGATCACCTTTGTTTTTTTCTCTCTACCAGAACTCTATGGGAAGAGTCAACCTAAATATCATCTTCACAGCTGTACTTCCAATATCTAGAAAACTACGTGGCCCATAAAATATACACAATAAATATTTGGGGAATGAACTAACCTGGATTAACATATCATAAAACATAAATTTAAATTAATTTTAAAACTCTTAGAATGCATGCAATTAGTGATCTAGATTAAATGCATTTTTGATATCAAATTCCTAAGATATACAGTTAACTCTAAAAAGATAATTTTATTCCTCCTTTAAACCATGCAAGTATTTTCTTACAGAAGTTCATACAATTTGATGGCCATAATAAAAATCCAATTTGTTCTTAATTAGTTTTGTTGCAAGTGTTGTTTTTTAATGAAATAAAATGCAATTAATGAAGTATGCAAATCCCAAATAAGAACTATGATTTTAAAATCAAAATCTGTGTTCTAGGAATATATTAAGGCAGATCTAGAGGATACTTATTAATTATGTATGATTAAAACAGTAAATGTGCTTGATTCCTAGGGAAAATCTAAGTTGTGTCTATGGTGCTCTGGCAAAACCTCATTGCATAACATTGCCAATGATATGTTTTATACACTAAATATTTTGCTCCTAATTTAGAATTCCAAAATTGCCTTTGTATATCAAATTAGAATTCTATAATAGTTCTTTCTGAATCTGGAAATGTAGCTATTTTATACCAGTGCCAACAACTAGAACATTCTATATGGTGGGAAAATCTAATTTTAAAAGATAAAGCAGTTGTGGATAATGATGGCAATAAACAAAAAAAGAATCATTCACATAATTCACAACATGTTAAGACATTAAATATCATGAAAATCATTTTGTTTAAACTTTCAGAACATGATGGGCAAATTTCTAAAGTAATCTCTTTTCTCTGATGCTCTTCCTATGAAAGCTAACGTTTGATTTAAAATAATTGTTACCAAATAATTTCTAAAGGAAAGAAATAATATTTTTCACAAGTCCCTATATTTTAGAAAACTCCCTAATATTTTCCTGAGTGACTGCAGTGTCATGAATTTCAATAGATTTGTTCACTGCTCCTCAAATAACTAAAGATTTTACTACTCTATAAATGATACTTTTAATGAAACTTTAGCCACCTGTGAGTGGTAATCATAAAAAATAGTTTGAAGCTGTCATTCATTATATTTTTGATAAGCTTATAATACATCAAGTTAACTAGATTTGACATCTTCTACCACATCTTCAAAAAAGGTGCTTTCATCTAGGAATTAGATATTGATCCTTCTTTAAATACAGACTAATGACTTTTGTGTAGCTACTATATAGTCACAGTACACACATCTCTCAAATTCAGTCAAAAGTAAAGCTGTACCTCCTATTTTCAAGAATAAATACAGTTTTATTAATGCCTCACTATTGCATTTTTATGATGGTTTGGAAGACAAAAATACTGTAAGTTGCAAAGTGCAGTATCAATACATTTGTTGACATTGTTTTTAAAATTCATAAAAAACCCAATAGAATTAGCCCTTTATTTATTTTTTTGTTTACTTTTTTATTTTTATTTTTTATAGAGACGACTTCTCACTACGTTGCCAAGGCTGCTCAAACTCCTGGGATCAAGTGGTCCACCCGCCTCAGCTTCCCAAAGTGCTAGGATTATAGGCATGAGCCACTGTGCCCAGCCGAGAGTTTTAGAATAATAGCTACAGCTATTTATTTTGAACTTACCCACTTTTAAAACCAAAGCACAATTTAGGGGTGGGGACGAGAGTGAAAAAAAACCCACCACAATTTAGCAGTAAACATACTCTTTGAAGGACATACACGTGTTTAAACTTAGTTATAGAAATCATGAAAATATATACAATTATGTCTAACCAATGCATGAGTATCTGTCTTTCCGTTTTTTCCCCAGATGATGCAAACTTAACTCAAGCTATGTTTCCATAAGGTGCAAAGGTATTTGTTCAACTAATCTTTTAACTATGAGTCATAAAATCCCAAAACAAAGTAAAAAGCTTTGAACATTTCTTATTCCTTTTGTATTTGGAGCTTAAAGCAGGGGAACAAATAATTTATTTATTATTATTTTTTAATAGGGTCTGGCTTTCTCACCCAGGCTGGAGTGCAGTGTTATGATCACGGCTCACTGCAGCCTATACTTCCTGGGCTCAGGTGATTCTCCCACCTCAGCCTCCTGCGTAGCTGGGACTACAGGCACCTACCACTATGCCCAGCTAATTTTTTATTTTTTGTAGAGGTTGGGGGTGGAAGGGGGGGTATCCCCATGTTTCCCAGGGTGGTCACAAACTCCTGGGCTCACCAAAAGTGACTTGGCCTCCAAAAGTACTGGGATTACAGGCGTAAGTCACCATGCCTGGCCAATTTTTAAAAAATTAAGTGAGGGAAACAGTTTGTAAAACACTTTTCATACAACGAATCAATCAAGCACTTTTCGATTGTGAAATGTGACTGACTTTAAAAAAATTTCTGGACACTTCCATACTGCCATTCCAAATTTCCTGGAGTTCAAGCTATCTTTTTAAATTTTATTTTAGAAAATAGCAAGCATAAAAGAAAGTTCATAAAATAGAAATGATTAGCTTAACACATTATTATAAAGAGAGTATCTGTGAAATTAATACAATGAAGATACCTGCAGTCCAGAAGCACCTTGCCTTTCCTACACGACCTCTTCCCAATCATGACACCTTCTGTCCTAAATGGAACCTATATATATACACACACACACACACACATATATATATACACACACACACGCATATATATATACACACACACGTATATATATACACACACATATATATACACACGTATATACACATATATACACACGTATATATACGTGTATATATATACGTGTGTGTGTGTATATATATACACACACACACACACACACACACACACACACACACTTTTTTTTTTTTGAGGCAGAGTCTTGCTTTGTCACCCAGGCTGGAGTGCAGTGGAGCAATCTCAGCTCACTGCAAGCTCCGCCTCCCGGGTTCACGCCATTCTCCGGCCTCAGCCTCCCGAGTAGGTGGGACTACAGGTGCCGGCCACCACGCCTGGTTAATTTTTTGTATTTTTAGTAGAGACGGGGTTTCACCGTGCTAGCCAGGATGGTCTCGATCTCCTGACCTCGTGATCTGCCCCCCTCGGCCTCCCAAAGTGCTGGGATTACAGGCGTGAGCCACCGCACCCAGCCTGAACCAATATTCTTTTGATTTTATTTTCTCACTTTCCCTTTTATAGTTCTGCTAGGTGGGTATGCATTTTTGAAACGTTAATGTTTATCTTTGTTTTGAACTCTATAGATTTTTAAAATTCATCTCCGTGTCACACGGAGCTATAATTCATCAGTTTTAATTACAATGGAGTAGTCCATATATATAATACCTAATCTTTTAGTCAGAAAGTTTGTTAAAAAGTTGATATATTCTCTTAATCCATAAAAAGTAGGTCTTTTTCTTGCCTGATTGCACTTTCTAGAACTTACAGGAAAAAAGTGAGTGGCTGTGATGATTGTGGGAATCTGTCTCTTTAGGCTAGCACTGAGGGGAAATATTTCAATATGAAGAGTTTGAATACTAAGCATGCATCTTCTGTAGAGTTTTTGTAAGTAACTTTTTAATTTTTAAATGCCTAAGGAAGTTCTCTTCTTTTCCTAGTTCACTTTTTTCTCCTTTTATTGTGAATAGAGTCTGAATTTAATCAGTTTTTTTTTTAATCTGTTGAGATAATGTGAGTTTTATTCTTTATTCTGTGATGTGGCAAATTATATTTATTGATTTTTCAAACGTTAAATGAACCAGAAATTTCCCAAATGAGCATGAATGCCCCAAATGAGTATGTTTTATTTTTTATAGATAAGGCTTTCTTTATTTTGCTTAATAGTTTAGCATGCATGGCTATAACTAAGATTACCTAGCAGGTTTTTCCTTGTCCTCACCTTTCTGTGTTTTATTGTCAAAGTGTTGCTACCTTGATAAAATGAGGGAAAAAAGTGTTCCTTTTCTGTTTTCGTTCTTTGGAAGAGTTTGTGAGAAACTGTTTTTGTTTTTGTTTTATCATTTTGCACATATGTCAGAAACTGGTATTGATGGCAACTGGCCTTGAGATTTTCATTGTGAACATTTTAATTTCTGATTCAATTTCTTTAGTAAGTATAGTAGCATTCAGGTTATCTACTTCCTTTTGTAACAATTTTGGTATGGTATGGATTGCTAGAAATTGTCAAATAAATTGAATTTCATTCAAATTCTCTTATTTATTTATTTTTGAGACAGAGTCTCACTCCGTCACCCAGATTGGGTGCAGTGGTGGGATCTCAGCTCACTGCAATCTCCTCCTCCAGGTTCAAGGGATTTTTGTGCCTCACCCTCCCAAGTAGCTGGGATTGCAGGCATGAGCCACCACCCTGGCTAATTTTTGTATTATTATTCTTATTTTTTTTTTTAAGATGGAGTTTTGCTCTTGTTGCCCAGGCTGGAGTGCAATGGTGCAATCTCAGCTCACTGCAACCTCCACCTCCTGGGTTCAAGCGACTCTCCTGCCTTAGCCTCCTGAGTAGCTGGTATTACAGGCATGCGCCACCATGCCCGGCTAATTTTTTGTATTTTTTTAGTACAGAGGTGGTCTCACCATGTTGGCCAGGCTGGTCTTGAACTTCTGACCACAGGTGATCCACCTGCCTCGGCCTCCCAAAGTGCTGGGATTACAAGTGTGAGCCACCACACACAGATAATTTTTTTTTATTTTTAGTAGAGACAGGGTTTCATCATGTTGGCCATGCTGGTCTGGAACTCCTGACCCCAGGTGATCCACTCACCTCAGCCTCCCAAGTGCTAGGATTATAAGAGTGAGCCATTTTTTAGCATAAGGTTTGTTTATAACTTTCTATTATATATATATATATATATATATATATATATACACACACATAAAATAGGTTCACACCTATTCTCCTGCCTCAGCCTCCCGAGTAGCTGGGACTACAGGCACCTGCCACCATGCCCGGCTAATTTTTTGTATTTTTAGTAGAGACGGGGTTTCACCCTGTTAGCCAGGATGGTCTCGATCTCCTGACCTCGTGATCCACCCGCCTCAGCCTCCCAAAGTGCTGGGATTACAGGCGTGAGCCACTGCGCCTGGCAACTTTCTATTATATTTTTAAGGTCACTCTAGAGGATTTATAGCAATGTTTACTTTTTTGTTCCTGATTATGGTTATTTTTATCTGCTTTCTTTGATTTTTTTTACTTACCAATAATTTATTATATTTTAAGTCTATTAAAACATTTCAACAAGATTAACACTTTTTTAAGAAGTGATTTATCTAGTTCTTCAGTTTGGTCATCTTTGTTTTATACTGGAATATCTATTTCATCGAAATTTAATGTAATGATTGACATATTTTATTTTATGTTTAAAGCCAACATTTTATATGCTTTTTATTTGTCCTTCCTGATGAGTTGCTTTTGTCTTTCACCTGTAGCCTTCAGAAAAAATGTGTCATTCAATTGTTCCCTCTGATATATTGGAAATTATAGACTCTATTTTTTTTTTTTTGATACGGAGTCTCGTTTTGTTGCCCAGACTGGAGTGCAGTAGCGCAGTCTCTGCTCACTGAAACCTCTGCCTCCGGGTTCAAGCAATTTTCCTGCCTCAGCCTCGGAAGTAGCAGGGATTACAAGTGTGAGCCATCATACCCGGCTAATTTTTGTATTTCTAGTAGAGACAGGGTTTCACCATGTTGCCCAGGCTGCTCTCGAGCTCCAGGCCTCAAGGGATCCACCCACCTCGACCTCCCAAAATGCTGGGATTACAGGTGTGAGCCACAGCGCCCGGCCTGAAAGTCATACACTCTTGTTCTTTTCTTTTATTAATAAATAATGAAAAAAAAAAAACAGCCTTTTTTTATCCCATGGCTTTTTTGGTCTTTCTGTTCCTTTTTTATTTGTGATGGTGTGTTGGATACTGCATTTGAAAATTTTTTTGTAGAAATATTTTGAGGTTAAGAATGATGTTACCTTTATTCAAAGTTGAGTCTTGAGAGTTTTGTTTTGGTTGTCTTTTTTTTTTTTTTTTTGGCTTCTTGTTACGGAAGAACTAGAAATTCAGAATTCTTATAATCTTTGTCAAGAGTTTAGATTTTCCAAATTACTGAAATGGCATAAAGCTGAGAATCAGTCCTTTCAAAAATTAGGTAATTTTGAGAATAGTCTTACTTTTAGGGTACATCATTTTGCAGCTCTGGTATAAATGGACTCTGATTTCTCAGTTCAGTCCATCCAGCCCTGTAAATTTTCCAAAAGCTCAAATTCTCAGCCACCTCATATGAATTGGCAAATGTCTCCAAAAATGTCCAAAATCTTGAGATATGTAAATACGTTTTTGGCATTTTTAACAAGAAATTCTTCTGGCATTTTTGTTGTCTACAATGAGAGGGTGAACTAGCTAATTACTTTACTGGAAGAGAAAGACCTTGAGTCTGAACTATTCATATGAAGTATATAATCTGAAAACATAATTTAGGGGTAAGAATTTTCTGTTCTTTCTTTCTAAATAATGTTTTCCCAGCCTGGGTATTAATTTGCATTACCACAATCCTGCAATTATTTTTTGAGCCTAGTTTCAAATATCATGATGTCTTTAACACAATTCAAAATTCTCAGTAAAATGTAATAATTACATTTTTGGCTATATTTCTTACCTCATTCTCTTAATCACTGGCAGAGTTGGTAGTTGAACAAGTGGAGATCTGGCACTATTCTCTGCCCTGAGCAATAGCTCTTTGACACAGGTACTCACAGTTTCTTACAGCACTTATTTTATCTATTCAAAGAATCAATAGATGCCCAAAATTATGGAAAGCCACATCATTGAAATGTGTGCTACACATAGCAATTTTCTTTCCAGTGCTTCAATGCCAGAAAATATGCTCTAAACTATTTTTCTTTCTCTAATTAAAGTGTGATTCAAAAGAAAACTAAATGTAACATACAATTTTCCTGGTGATCCCGTAGGTAGCATTACTACTTGCTTAAAATGTTCTTTATATCAGAACACTCACCATTGTAATTTCTTGTTATAACATATATCTCCTGTACACAGAGCATTTCCAAACAATTTAAGGATTAAATTTTACATAGTAAAAAAAAAAAATTAATCTAATTCCTTCAAGGTGGAGAATAAATATTTAAAATGGGCTCTAATTTTTATTTTTTTAAAATATTTAAAAATACAAGGTAGTACAGACAATAACATAGTACCCATGTTCCCACAAGCCAGGATTAGTAACTATTTTCATTAAGCCATATATACTTTTTTATACATAATATAGGGGATAAAACATTACAGGAAACTTATAGTTCCATTTCACTGTTACTCACAATTTCATTGAAAGTAACTTTTCCCCTAATCCCAAATCATGAATTTGCTGTATATCCTCCAAGTTATTTAACATCTTACACACAAATACAAATTTATTAATGTATTTATTATTGTTATATTTTTATACTCATGCATCATTTTACAACTTGCTTGTTTCATTTACCATGTTATGGGGTTTTTTTTTTTTTTGAGACATGCATTACATAAATGTACCAAACATTGCAAAAGAAAGCATTAGGGACTCAAAAAGGATATAGTCTTCCACTCTCTCCCTAATAAACTACTCTAATTTTGATTAAAATTCTATCATGAGAATTTTAAATGCATTTTGTGTGGAGACAGTATGATGAAACACATTTTCTAAGATTTTCTCTTGTCTGTAATCCCAGAACTTTGGGAGGCCAAGGCGGGCAGATCACCTGAGGTCAGGAGTTTGAGACCAGCCCGGCCAACATGGTGCAACCCCGTCTCTACTGAAAATACAAAAATTAGCTGGGCATAGTGATGGGCACCTGTAATCCCAGCTACTCAGGAGGCTGAGGCAGGAGAATTGCTTGAACCCGGGAGGTGGAGGTTGCAGTGAACCAAGATGGTGCCACTGCACTCCAGTCTGGGTGACAGAGCGAGACTTTGTAAAAAAAAAAAAAAAAAAAGGAAAAAAAAGATTCCCTCTTGGTACCAGGTGTTTAGCAGATTTTATTCCTAGGGCATTGCTTGATTACATAATGAGTTTCTCTAATAAGTATCTGTTGAAGTGATTTTTCTTTTTCCAATGGGTGTCAATTAAAAATAAGCCAACAAACAAAAAAGGAACACATGGCCAGAAGAGACAACTTGAATCATTTTAAAATTCTTTTAAAATTCTCTTGAGAAATGTGTATCAAAACTAGATGCAGAGATTTTCAATATAAAAGAAAACCAAATGTTCTATTTCAGTACAAAATTTTCCAAGCGCTACTAACAGACAACAGTAATTTCGCAGAAATAGCTTAATACACAAATTATTTTCTGAAACCACGTGAGTAATTTATATCTTATTGTCCAGAATGAAATTCTCTCAGATAAGTCTAATAATTTTATATAACTTATAAAGTTATATATACATGCCTGCTGAGGGTTTGGGTATAATTTACATTAAAGAGACTGCAAATTGAGCAGTAAACTTACATCATAAGTATTGTAAGTTTGTTCACTGACATTGGTAACTACACACAGAAACATAATAGCAGCTGTGTTAGTAGGCTTCTCAAAGTCCTTATATATAAGCCTTACATTAGATTATCCAAAAAAAATGTGGGGTCATTATATTTATCATGTTTGTACTTAGAACCCATTCTGTTCACCCCTCAAAATTCAGCAATTTCTTCTGTATTCTAAAATCTGTTTCTCAATGTGTAAGTTCTTAATATTTTTTAACAGCTTTTCATATTACCTTAGTTTCTGTCCTCATCTTCTGGATTTCTGCACGGGTCTTTAAAGTTTTAATACCGTATGGTTAAAAATTGTTCAACTAATTAATTGTGAACTTGCTTTGCTTTCATAATTAAAAAATACGGTAATAAAATGGTTAAGCCTTCCTTACTATCAGTGTATTTGGTGATGCAAGACCGAGGGCTTAAAACCCAAGGCCTAAGAAGTATCCAATATAACATTCTTTGTTAATTCTAATATTAATTGAAAGAACATTGTGATTTTTAGCTTTCTTGGTTTTTTAATTTACTATTTTTATTTTTATCAAAATAATAACTGTACATAGCTTAAAAGGCCAGATAGTACATCTAGGCTTATAGTTAAAAATAGCTCCCCACTTCATCCTACCCTTCTCTTTCTCATCTTGCTTCCTAGAAGATGATGATTTTGACTCCAGATCTTAAATGCTCTTCTAGGATTCCAAAATGTTACAACTCATCCATTGGTTTCCTAAGATAGAGGTTGAACATATGGCTTTATTACACTTCTCAGGTGTGAGTGTGCACATCCCACACACTTGCCATTTCTCCATGAACCCAACATAGTAACAGTATATTTTTTAATTAAATGAGAAGCCAATGTTTATATTTTTATGACTATATACATACGGTAGCAGTCCAGGTCTCACTAATAGCTGTTTCAGTACTGACTGAGTGGTTAAGTTAATTTTTGTTTTTTTGAGAGAGTCTTTCTCTGTTGCCCAGGCTGGAGTGAAATGGCATGATCTCGTCTCACTGCAACTTTTGCCTCCCCAGTTCAAGCGATTATCATGCCTCAGCCTACCAATTAGCTGGGACTACAGGTCCGTGCCACCATGCCCAGCTAATTTTTGTATTATTAGTAGAGATGGGAATTTCACTATGTTGCCCAGGCTGGTCTCAAACTCCTGACCTTAAGTGATCTGCCTGCCTCGGCTTCCCAAAGTGCTGGGATTACAGGCATGAGCCACTGCGCCTGGCCTGTGGTTAGGTTAAATATTAAAAGCCAGTGGACTTATACAAAGGCTGGGATGTAACCAAAGGCCATCAATAGTTTTGCCTAGGCCTTTCCTAGGTCTTAAAGCATGACAAAATAAGGAAGGAATTCTTAACAGGACCCATTAAGGATTGAAGAAGTTTTATTGTGGGTCTGAAGAAACTCCCCAGGCCTCCACAAACAAGTTTATTGGGGGTCTGAAGAAACTCCTCAAACCTCTGTGATTTAGCAGGAGACAAGATAAGGGTCATCACCCCAGCACTGGACCCATTTAGATTAGGTAAATTTACTGAGGCTCCAGAGGAAGGTCGTCAGGACTCAGACCTTAGTTATGTCTTAGGTGAATGCACACTTACACATAGACATATAGCTTAGAAGGTATATAAGCTATGGAAAACTTTGTAATTTTGAGTTGGTCTGGCAAAAATTTCCAGGCCTTCTCTCTGTAACCAGCTACAGAAATGAAAACTCTCTTCCGCCCCAGTTCATCTGCATCTCATTATTGGGCCATGAGAAATAGCAGCCTGACCCTCAGTTTGGTCCAGGAACAATATGATTATATTTCATTCCTTGAGAACATTTTCTTTTTCTGAAAAAAATAATTTATCATTTTTGTATTTGTTTACCTTTTACATATCCCTACTGAATTGAGTTCCCAACTTGAAGAGAATCGAATCCCTTAATATAGCCAGAGATTGGGACTGGTTGCACCCTAGGCCTGTCATACAGTCACTGTAGGACTTTCCTTGAATATTGAGTTGAAATTTCCCTTTGCATCTTTCTTGTCTTGATTCTCCTGTTCTATATGTTTTATTTCTCCCCCTCCCTGTCCTCCCCTCCCATTCACTTTCACTTCCCCTTTCCCTTCCCCCTTCCCCCTTTCTCTTCTTTAGAAGGAAATATTTTAGTTCTAAAACTTTTTATAGTTTTAAAATGATAAATAGTATTATCTGTATCAACCGGGTATGAAAATAGATTACTTAACATGATTATATACTGTGTTACAATGGCGCATAACTGAACTTATACAGTATGTTGCTTTTACTTACAAGTATGGAAATAAATAATGATACATTTCAAATTCATCCCAGAGGCTATTTTAAACTTGTCATTTAAAATACAGTTTCTATATTCAATATCTTGGTAGAAACAAAATTATATTTAATTTTATTGAAGATGCTTTTTGTTTAATGATGCTGTTATACATTAATGTTCTCTTATGCCATCATTGAAAAAGATTATATTATGTTTGTATAATTGTCAACAATTATACATTGTAAAATGCAAATATACTTTCTCACTTTTACCATTGTATATATTCTGTTGAAGATATGGTCCAAAAAAAAACAACCCATTCAATTCACTTAATGACTTATGTTTTAAACTTTTTGCGTATGTCAGAAGCCAGTGTGGCAACTGATAATATGATACGAGATTATTCATTTTTTAATGTTCCATTTTTTTTCATCTAAAGTAGGGTGATTCTAGCGATTCAACTTTATGTCCTCAAAATTAATTCCAATATCCTCGATGAACTCAAAAATTATATTTTGTTTCAGGGGTTGTTAATTATAGTGAAAATTATTAACATTTATTTTAAGAAGACATTACATATAGTGTATCATATACAAAAGGAATGGCTGGGTAACCTTTCTTCTATAAATGCAGTGAGAACAATAGAAAAATCGTCAAAATTAACTTTTTCAGCACTCTGGAAACTAACCAAAGGGTTATAAAAATCTAGGGTCTATTACTCAAGTAAAGCAGCTTCAATGGCAAGAACAGTGAGTTTTTTGGTATTCTTAACTTGCCCTATTTCCATTTTCCTCTCCTCTGTGGTAGGCTTGAAAACCCATAACCTAGAAGCTACTGGAAGGGACAGAAAAGGGTTGGAGTTCCTCCATCCTCCCCACCCCCTGCACCCCCAACCTCCCCGACCTGTTCTCAAGAATTCTCATTATTTTAACCATCTCAAAATACCCTGGAAAAATTCACTTGCAGTGACCTAACTCAGAGATCATCCACTGTGAGATCACCTCATCTTTTCCCAGAGGGGCTTTCCACATAAACAATCACTGGCAATTAATTGCTCAAAAATGCAGTGGCTTGAGGTGACTTAAACAACTGGGACAAAAAAAAAAAAAAACTTAATAAAAACCACTTAAGGCCAGGAGTGGTGGCTCAAGCCTGTAATCCCAGCACTTTGGAAAGTGGATTGCTTGAGGCCAGGAGTTCGAAACCAGCCTGGCCAACATGGTATAACCCCGTCTCTACTAAAAATACAAAAATCAGAGGGACAGCCAGGCATGGTGGCAGGCACCTGTAATCCCAGCTATTCGGGAGGCTGAGGCATGAGAATCGCTTGAATCTGAGAGGTGGAGGTTGCAGTGAACCAACATCATCATGCCACTGCACTCCAGCCTGGGCAACAGAGCCAGACTCTGTCAAACAAAACAAAACAAGCAAACCAAAAAACAATACTTAAAAAGAAAAAGCTGGAGAATAAGATGTTTGTGGGGACATTTTAAAAGCTCTAACATATTCCCGTGAATGTAGAAGGCCTTGTGCATGCAGAGGGCTATGCAAGCCTGAGTAGGACACTTCATAAACACAGAAAAATTCACCTTTAGCTATCCTTGAGGCTCTGCACAAGTCGAACGTGAAGAATAAGGCAGGGTTTTAAGCTGCCTGCCTGAGCACTAAGAAACATTGACAAACCAATAGTTACATTGACCAGAAAAAGAGAGAAGACTCAAGTTACTAAAATTAGAAAGAGGAAATATTACTATCAAACTTTAAAAACTAAAAAGATTATAAGGGTATCCCCTTATATCAACAGCTCTATGCTAACAAATTAAATAACTTATATAAACTGAATAAAAGAATATCTGAAAGAACCTGTAACAAGAAAGAGATTGAGGCTGGGTGAGGTGGCTCATGCCTGTAATCCCAGCACTTTGGGAGGCTGAGGCGGGCAGACACTGGAGGTCAGGAGTTCAAGGGCAGCCTGGCCAACATGGTGAAACCCCGTCTCCACTAAAAATACAAAATAAGCCGGGCGTGGCAGTGGAGGCCTGTAATCCCAGCTATTCGGGAGATTGAGGCGAGGAGAATTGCTTGAACCTGGGAGGCTTGACGCCATGTTGGCATCACTGCACTACAGCCTGGGCAACAGAGCAAGACTCCGTCTCAAAAAAAAAAAAAAAAGCAAAACAAACAAACAAAAAAACGAAAGAAAGACACTGAAATAGTAATGAAGAAATTTCCCACAAAAAAAAACCCAGGGCCACATGGCTTCACTGTTAAATTCTATGAAACGTTTAAAGAAGAATTAACACTGTTGTTTCACTAACACTTCAAAAAAAATTTGAAGACAATAAAACAATTCTCAACGTATTCTACAAGGCAAGTATGACCTTGATGCCAAAACCAGAAAAAGATATCACAAAAAAAACTACAGACTAACTTTCCTTACTATTATAAACACAAATGCTCTCAACCAAAAACTAGCAAATTAAATCCAGCAAGATATAAAAAAATTATACATTATAACCAAGTGGGATTTATCTCAGTAATACAAGGTTTGTTCTACATATGAAAATCAATCAATGTAATATACCATATTAGTAGAATAAGAACAAAAACCACAATAATCTTACAGATGCAGAAAAAGCATTTAACAAAATTCCAACCACTTTCATGTTAAAAACACTTAACAAAACCTATAATATTACGGAATTTTCTCTATCTAAGCAAAGGGCATCTACAAAAAAACCTACAGCTAACATTCTACTTAATGGTGACAGACTAAATGCTTTCACCTTATAATTAGGACTATTCAGCATTGCACTGGAGGTTCTAGCCAGGATAGTTAATACAGTGAATGAAAAGAAATTCATCCAGATTAGAAAGGAGGAAGCAAAACTATCTATATTTACAGATGACACAATCTTGTCTACAGAAAATTTCTACCAAATATATATATTTTAAAAAACTATTAGAACTAATGTAGGAGTTCAGCAAGGTTGAAAGCTACAACATCAATACAAAAATCATCTTCCTTAACAATGACCTATCTGGAAATAAAATTAAATAAATGATTCTGTATACAATAACATCAAAAAGAAAAAATAAGAATAAATTTAACCAAAGAAATTCATGATTATAAACTAACACAAATTTAAAAGACCTAAATAGCTGGAAAGGTCCCACCTTCATATATCAGAAAATTTAGTATTATCAAGGTGACAGTTATCCCCAAATTTATCTAAAGATTCAATGAAATTCTTAACAAAATTTCTGCTCCCTTTTTTTTTCAGAAATTTGATAATCTAATCCCCAAACTCATATGAAAATACACACCAACAGTGAAGAAACTCTTGACAACGAAGAACAAAATTGGAGAATTCACAATTCTCTATTTCAAAAGTTACTACAAAGCTTTAAAAGTCATCAGTGTGACTGTACTGACCTAAGGACAGAACTATGAATTGATAAAGTAGAATTAAAAGTCCAGAAATAAGCCTTGACATTCATAGTTAATTCATTTTTAATAAAGGGGGCCAAGACAATTCAATGTGGAAAGTATAGTTTTGTCAACAAAATAGTGCTCAGATATCTGGACAACCATATTCAAAATAATGAAGTTAGGCCACTACTTAACATAATATTGAAAAAATTAAACCACAATGGATTAAACATATAAATGTGAGAGCTAAAATTGTCAAATTCTTCGACCAAAAAAATCATTGTCATTGGGCAATGATTTCTTACATACAATATTGGAAATATAAGCAACCCAAGAAAATTAACTGGACATTAAAATAAAAAATAAACAAACATGTATTTCAAAGGACAGCACTTAGTAAAAAGACAACCGATTGTTAGTGTTCAGAATATTATACTACCCAAAGTATTATAACCTGAAGGAATCTGATAAAATAGCAGAAGTGGGAAGGTCTCTCTAACCTTCCCCCCACCCCTTCTCTCCTAAACCAGGTCAATAAAGCCTAGGAAGGATTTTCTGACCTTCCCTTGAACCAAGTCTAAGACCCTCAGCTTATAGGTACCCTCCACATACCTGGAGGAAGGGATCATCCTTACATCTGAAGACAAAGACGTACAAAAGTATCTGAATAAATAGGTCTTGCTAAGTTTTGTCCAGTTTATTACTGTTACAATCTTTTTGCCCTACCATTTTTTTACATGACTGTTCACTCTTCATCAAACCTACATTTCTTTTTTCTTTTGAGACGGATTCTCGCCCTGTTGCCCAGGCTGGAGTGCAGTGTTGCAATCTCAGCTCACTGCAACCTCCGCCTCCTGGGTTCAAGCAATTCTCTGCCTCAGCCTCCCAAGTAGCTGGGATTACACATGCCCGCCACCACGCCTGGCTAATTTTTTGTATTTTTAATAGAGACAGGGTTTCACCATCCTCGCCAGGCTGGTCTTGAACTCCTGACCTCATGATCTACCCACCTCGGCCTCCCAAAGTGCTGGGATTACAGGCGTGAGCCACCACGCCCGGCCTATTTTTTAAAATTCATGTTTAATGTTTTATTTGTGTCTTCATTTCCCTTTGAAGGCCCCATGTCATATAAAACTGCTATGGAATAAATTTGTATGCTTTCCTCTTGTTAATCTGTCTTTTGTTATAAGGGCATCAGCCATGAACCTAAGATGGGTAGAGAAAAAGATACTTTTCTCCATCGTACCACAGAATGGGAGAAAATGTTTGTAAAGCATATATCTGATGAGGGACTTGTATGCAGAATGTACATAAGAATTCTTACTACAAAATGTTAAGAAGACAAAAAACAAGTTTAAAATGGGCAAATAATCTGAATAAGACAAGATCTAAACAGGATGTATGAATGATCAATAAGCACATGTAATCCCAGCTACTCAGGAGGCCGAGGCAGGAGAATTGCTTGAACCCGGGAGGCAGAGGTTGCAGTGAGCTGAGATCACACCATTGCACTCCAGCCTGGGTGACAAGAGCGAAACTCCATCTCAAAAAAAAAAAGAAAAGAAAAAGGAAAAAAAAGCACATGAAAATATAGTCAACATTATTATCCATAGGGAAACACTGTTGAGTTGTAACAGTTCTTTATAAATTCTGGATAGATTGCAATTCAATCAAAAATCACATTTTATTTTTATTTACTTATTTTTAATAATTTCAACTTTTATTTAGATTCAGAGGGTGTATGTGCACGTTTGTTACATGGGTATACTATGTGACACTGAGGTTTGGGGCACAAGTGATCCCTTCACCCTGGTACTGAGCATAGTACCCAGTAAGTAGTATTTTAGCCCTTGCCCCACATCCTCCCTCCCCTGCTAGGAATCCCCAGTGTCTTTTGTTCTCATTGTTATGTCCATATGTAACCAATGTTTAGTTCTCACTTACGGGGTGAGAACATGCAGTAGTTGGTTTTCTGTCCATACATTAATTCACTTAGGATAATGGCCTCCACTGCATCGATGTTGCTGCAAAGGACATTACTTCTTTCTCTTTATGGCTGTGTGGTGTTCCCTGGTATGTATGTGCCACTTTTTCTTTATCCAATCCACCATTGATAGGGACATAGGTTGATTCCATGACTTTGCTATTGTGTATAATGCTGCAATGAACATACAAGTGAATGTGTCTTTTTGGTAGAATGATAAAAATCACATTTAAAATTACAAATATTAAGTAATGTTACCTATATACCACAGAACAGCAGTAGTTTTTAAGCTTAATTGCGTATATAAATTACCTGAGGGGAGGCTGTGTAAAAAATACATACCCTCTAATTTTAGTAACAGACATCAGGGTATAGGAAAGGAAGAGTAACCAAAGAAGAAAAAATGGAAGACAAAACATAGTTTTCTTTCCAAAAGCCTTTTTTTCTAGTTTAGCATATATTTAAATGAAGATCATTTGTCCAATATTGTTATGAAAAATATATCAGAATATGTTTTTAAATATTATTCTATGTTCACACATCCTCTAAATCAATTAAAATGGTGGTATAAGTACCATTCACGTTTCAAATGTTTATTGAACACCTACTAAGTCTATGAGTCTATGATTCTGATTGTATCAGTAAATAAGAACCTTAGTAAAAACAAAGTTTTAATTATTTTTAATTATCTAAGAGTCCACAAACTAAACTAAAACATGTTTATTAAAATTTTAGTCTTATATTGGCAAAGTATTAAAAAGTTAATTAAACAAGTTAATGAAGGTTTCTATATTCAAAACACTGTTTACCCTTCTAATGAAAAAAATGGCTAAATAAATTGTAATTATTACAAAAGAAACAGTGAATTCATCACACTGGTATCTGTTTTTAATATGCTCACAAATTATTTTACACATACACAAAAACGTATTTATTTTTAAAACTAAGTATAGAATCATGCCATCCCAGTTGTACTTGTTAGATGTTAACTGAGAGGAACATGGTATTTTAAGAAGTGGATGGGCCACGCGCAGTGGCTCACACCCTTAATCCCAGCACTTTGGGAAACCGAGGCGGGCGGATCACCTGAGGTCGGGAGTTTGAGAACAGCCTGACCAACATGGAGAAACCCTCTCTCCACTAAAAATACAAAACATTAGCCGGGCATGGTGGCGCATGTCTGTAATCCCAGCTACTGGAGAGACTGAGATAGGAGAATAATTTGAAGCTGGGAGAGGGAGGTTGCAGTCAGACAGGATGGCGCCATTGCACTACAGCCTGGGCAACAAGAGCGAGACTCCCTCTAAAAAAAAAAAAAAAAAAAAAAAAGTGGATGACAGTGAAGAAGGATTTTCATCCCCTCTTCTATGTATTTTTCAGTTGTTTGAATTTTTCAACAAGAATGATTGATGAATGATTGACTTAAAACTGATTAAAAAAAGAGGAGTGTGGCGTTCTCTTTTCTGTAATTACAAATAATGGAGAATTTATAGAATGACAAGCATCATAATTACAGCTGTGCTCTATTTTATCCTGGTAAGTTTTATAGGATAGGTTGATTAGGGGTGAGGGGAGAGCTGATAAAAAGCAATGTAGGTAAATTGTCTTCATCCAGGGGACCAAATGAGACTGGCAAGAAGTGGATGCATATGTGCCGTGGAGAGATTTAATTTACCCCAGTTACTAAATGGATTTGTGAGAAGAGGAGAAATGTAGAATCAAATACCACCATGCTTTTAAGTTTGAATTATTATGATAACTTTAATTTAAAAAAATACATAAGGGAAAAAAATTAGAAATCCTGATTTTTAATATAGTGTGTGTGCAATGTCTGTGAGTGAGGACAGAGAAGGACAGGAACTTCCTGACTTTTTTTTCTGATTGGATCATAGGATTTCAAGAGAAAAAAAAGAAAGAAGAGTCAACCTTTGTGATGATGACTGCTTATATATCATTTGCTAATCTGAGTTCTCTGTGATAAATGCAGAAGTTAAGATGTAAAGAATTCACATGTAACTAGGTATATAGTGTCTGTGACAGTTTCTGATTTCATGGTATTCTTGGATTTATATGTTTCTTTTACATCCTGAGTTGTAATGGCAAATGAAAGAAATACACGCTAATTTACACACATATACTCTCCTGCTCACATAGCTGTGTGTAGAAGGAACAGTTTGTAATAAAATTGACATCTCTAAAGTCATGAAGAGTGCTCTCCTTCCAACTGAATTTATATGCATAGAGTTGATATTTCAGATGTTATTTTTGTGGTGAGAGTCTTTTGGGACTTCAGCTACTGGGGATAAAAGGAGTGTGATGTTGATAGAATTCAAACGCTGTTTGAAGAGGCAAGCAAAAGTGGATTTCTCTTATTACCTTCAGAAAAATTGTGGAAAATAGCAATCTTATGTCAATTATATTAAACATGCTTATTTTTATATTTTCAGCACAGGGCTTTGAAATTTTAACAAGATTTATATGTAAATGATAAGTTATCATGATATGATTTTAATAGCACCAACACATCAGAAAAAAGATAATTACCATCTCACACTTTCAACCATCCTTGGGAAAGTTAAAATATGCAGTTGGGCTTAGGCATTTGGTAGTTGTCTAATATGAAACATATTTAAATATAAATGCTTTCTAAATACAAATCATTGACAGTTAAATATGCAATGATTCACAAATAAATATTCTGGACTCCAAAAGCGTGCTACACATATGTGCATCAACATTTATCTTCAGTCATAAAAATCTACAAATTGATTTAAATATATTTATGAAATAACCACAATGAACTAAGATGAATTTTATAATAAATTTACAGATCACATAATACACATAAGTTAAAAAGAGTGTATATACATAATTTTAACATAAATTTGCTACCATCTTATCAATGTATCTATAATAATAATCTATGCTGGTCTCTGTAGTAACAAAATACATGTGTATAAGTCCTGTTCATTTTAATATTGGCTAACAAAGAAATGGCCAACATGTGTCAGCAAAAATGAGCAAAATGTTAGGAAAACACGAAGCAAGATATAAATGTAGAACATTTATTTGGGATCTAGGCATAGAGTTCTGTTATTTTACTTGGTAAAAGATGACATTCAATCAACAAATGTTTACTGAATTCCTGCTCTAAGTAGGATCTGATGTATACTCTGGAGGACAGGCAAAGTAACTGCTCTGCACAATTTTTGCCCTAATAGATGGAGACATATGATTAATGAAAGAAAACAGAAAAGATACTTTCATCTGAAGATAAGAGTACTATGAAGAAAAAGATATGCATGTATATTTTTTGCATGCATGTGTTCATGGGCAATATTTGGGACAGGGAAGCGGGGGAGATTTGAGCTTTTATCTAATGACAAGAAGTAGACAGCCATGTAAAAGTGGAGTTGGGGGAACAATGCCCATGGTGAGAACAGTATGGAGAAATGCCTTGAGATTGGAATGAGCTTAGAATGATTGAAAAAAAAGAAGGACAGCATTCATGGAGCACAGTGACAGAGGGAAAAAGTAGGAAGAGATACAATGGGAGAGGTAGATGAGTCTTAGCCCCTCTTTGTAGTTTGAAATTACTAATCTTGCTGAAAACCTAAGCAAGCTCTATGGTGAGGTAGTATGATTATCTCAAGAATACATAATTAATAATTTTGGGAGGATTTCTAATAAAAGTTGGTGAATGCAGCAGAAATGCTTCTAAATCTTCTCATAGCTAGCCAATCTTTGATAACCAAAGACAGTTATATGAAAGTAAAGTAATACCATACCCACATTGGAAATTTTTCAAAATATATAGTGACTTAAGACAAATTTTTATTTGAGAGGCTAAGGCAAGAGGATGGCTTTAGCCCAGAAGTTTGAGAGCAGCCTGGGCAACACAGTGAGACCTCGTATCTACAAAAAAAATCAAGAAAATTAGCCGGGCAGGGTGGCGTACACCTGTAGTCTCAGCTATTTAGGAGGCTGAGGCAGGAGGATCCCTTGAGCCTAGGAGATGAAAGCTGCAGTGAGCTGAGATCATGCCACTGCACTACAGCCAGGGTGAGAGAGCAAGACCCTGTCTCAAAAAAAAAAAAAAAAAAAAAACCCACAAATTTTTAGTATTGGCAGGCTTATTTTTCTAAGTTATTCCTTTACTCCATTGTAGTCAATTGGTTACATTGCAGCAACTCTATCATGAAGTTTATCCTAAGACCTGTTCAAATGGTTTAAATGTTCAAACTTTATTCTAAGACCTCTCATTATACAGAGTTCCTTCATGTTGGTTATTTAAAAAACTTTGGTTAAATTTCTCATTCTAGAATTTCTACTAGGAATGGCTGGAGAAAAAAATGGATGATATGCTGATATGCTTTCTCCTTTTCCAGCTCACTTTTCTATCTCTCTTCAGATGTTAGAACATGCCCCAATCTCAAGACAGAAATATGGAAGAGCCCAAGGTGGAATTTTATCCCGTTAATAACATTTCAACCATCACAACTGTAAAAGAAGTAGTGGAGTCAACTGATGAAGCTCACAGTAGACTTGAGAGCTGTATAAATAACTGCCTGGTCTGGATATTGCTCTGATTATGTAGACAACCATCTGTACCAATCAATGAGGCAAAGCATAACCTCCATGGTCAGAGCATTCTGAAACAACTCCAAAGAAAATTAGTCTTCCTTTTATCACACACTCTATCTCTTCTCTCCCTGCACACACTTTCCAACTTACTTGCCTGGTTATATTTGGGTTAATGTTACTCATACTGTAAAACTCACTAAAGGCTGTTTCTGTCTCACACAAGAACATTAACTGGATACAGTGAAGCCATTGTTTGCACGTGTACCTTCAGCGTTGCCCTCTGTGACATTCTCACCTTGCATGTACTCATAGTACAGTGAGATCTCCATATTATAATAAAACAATACATTTCACAATATAAGTCATGATATATTTTATGCTATACAGTCAGGTCTTAAGTTCCAAAGGAGAAAGAGAGAGGGAGCTTAGAGAAATTATCTTATATGTATATCGATGTCAATTTTAAGTTGATACTTTTCAACCTATCAAAACACTTTACTAGGGTTTGTAACAGAAAGCTGTGTTATAATGTGTATGATGTTTCAATGAGGATATATGCATATATAAAAATATATATCCAATTTCAAATTAAAATTGTTACAAGATGTGTAACTATTACAGAATAGGTCCTTTACAACTTTAACAGAAAGGTATCAATCATGAAAGAATAGATTTTTGTAGGCATTTCTAATGGAAAGGCCCATAATAAAGTGCAAAGGAAAGGGAAAAGGATTTAAATTAAGGAAATGAAAACATGGAGATAAAAAGTGAAATTTGTAGCAGGAGACAAACTATTTGACCGAAGCAGCAGCTTTATGCAAATTGATGGAAATTATTCCTCCCAAATAGAGACCTTTTTCTTTGTCTAACTTCTTTTGACCAGGATCTCCCTGAAAGCCTCCTCTCTCTGCTTCAGGGACTGCGTATTCCTAAGATCTCCTTCTTTTATTCGACGCCTACACCTCATCTCCCAGGCTCCCTGCTCTGCTACCCAACCTCTCCTCAGCTCCCAACAGCCATCTCTCTATTACTGGCTTTTCTTCTATCTATTGGATTCTAGTGTTCTTCAGCAATCATGCCTTGGCCAACTTTCACTTTATATCAAGTCGTTTTCTCAGATTGACTTCAACTCCCATCTTTAAAGTTTCAGGTAAAAAAAGTCTGCCATCTACAATAAGCAAGAGATCATCTCTGCTTCAATTTATTTATTTACACATAAACAGAGCTCATAATCCATATAAAATCAAATTGAATAAAATTGGTTTCTACCTCTAACTTCTTTCTTTCTTTTTTTTTTTTTTTTTTTTTGAGAGGGAGTCTTGTTCTGTCGCCCAGGCTGGAGTGCATTGGCGTGATCTCGGCTCACCGCAACCTCCACCTCCCGGGTTCATGCCATTCTCCTGCCTCAGCCTCCCAACTAGCTGGGGCTACAGGCGCCCGCCACCACACCCAGCTAATTTTTTGTATTTTTGGTAGAGATGGGGTTTCACCGTGTTAGACAGGATGGTCTCGGTCTCCTGACCTCGTGATCCGCCCGCCTCGGCCTCCAAAAGTGCTGGGATTACGGGCGTGAGGCACCGCGCCCGGCCAACTTCTTTCTTACAGGCATCTCCTTAATCTGCTAAACTCAAGTATCAGAAATCAATTCCTACTCTCTTCCTTATCGCAATTAGTATTTACCATGTATTCATTTTAATCTGAAATGTTACCCTGCATTTCCAGTTCTAGTATGATCTTCATCCAGACATTCCAAATTATTTATTGGTCTATGAAGTAGATTTTCTAATTCACATTATCTACTCTATTCTAGTTTACCAGTTACTCAGTTACTAATTTTCCAAACACACACATTCTTCTTTCATCATGACCTGATTGATAGTGCTTAAAAGCATTCTCAAGTACCAGGTCACACAAGCTTCAAGGTCAGAGCCTACTGCACACACGAGGATTGAGTATCAGAACAGGATAAGATAGTTATGAGTCTGAGATCAATGTATTAACCTCAAACTGACAGTTGAAGCGAGATTTCAATTTCGAATATGTGAGGTGGCTTGGTATTCAAATATCCAAGAGTGTTATGGAACCATTGGCAAGGCTAAAGATTAATTTTAGGGGCTGCTCCCTCTCGCTCATATGCATGGGTATGCAAATGAACAAATTTTCTCTGTAATTCTTCTCCAGTTTCTGATGTGACTGAATCTTCAAAAACATTGCTTCCATTTATGTTTGTATTATGTACTTATATGTGATTTATGAAAAAGTACTAAATTGTTTTTATCATAATTGTACGATTAATAGTTTTTTTTTCCGAGTGAATTGGAAATAGAGGCATAAAAACAAAGAAAGAAGAAGTTATTTATTAAATATCTCAAAGTAGGTCAGTAGCAGAGCACAAATAAGAATGCAAGACAGGAAACTAATAAAAGCTGTGTGGCAGTGCATTTTTTAAAATAGGATAGCCCAATATTAATAGAGTCTTTCTCATGTGGGTCAGAATTCCAAAACCATACAAGGTTTCAAGATGCATTTAAATTGTCAACAAATGAACTGTGTTCCAAATAACTTTCTGGGATTGCCAAGTAGGGAAAGGGTGAAGATGGAGGGGAGCAGGTGAGAAGAAACTCCAGGCTCCTTACCCTATCTTCAAAATTGCTATAATTCTTGCTTTATATGTCGAGTTGCTTAAAAAATTAAATTGAAGAAAAAATAATTTCCATTTCATCAAAAAGAAAAAAGATAACAAATTATTTTAATAAGTAGAAACGTGTAAGCTGTGGTTTCTGAATAACACTGGAAATTGGTCAAGAAGTTTCTAATGTTTAGATTGAACTCTCGCTCTCCAGGATTTATATTGTTACAGTCTCATAACTTCAATAAATATACCCATACATTTTTAAAGATGTAATAAAATCTCAGAAGGTATTTGAGGGAAGCACTTTATTTTTGCCACAAAATTCCTGATGTGTGCCTGGTTCTGATCCCAATACCAAGAATCAATGAACATTGGTAAATGACCTTAGATGAATGATACAAAATGACCTCTTTGTAAAACAAGAACGCCTTTGAAAAGATTATCCTATTTACTTAATGACAAAATGAAAATACACAAATTATTGTGTTAGTTGACTCAGATGCATCCCTCAGCCCTATTTAAGAAAGATTGGATCAGGCAAACTTGTCCTCAATTCCCCAGCCTGTGCTTCTACACATCTGCCTCTCTCTGCGATGGGCACTTTGTTGAATGTTAGTATCTTCATGGTCCGGTCCCTATACACCTGCCACTCTCACATGTGACCACCCAAATCTGTATTCAGTCTTGTATTAAAATCTATATTCACAATCAAAATATTAGAAAATGACTAGGGATAGGTTGAAGTGCTTCACTTCCCAGGTATACCTGCATTTTTAATAACAATTAAAGTTTATGCTATAGACATAGAACATCCTGGGCTTTTTAAAGTTGAATGAGGCAAATAAAATGCTTCTATAAATCTGAGTCTAGGACTACACAGAATGGTGCAGATTATAAAAAATCAGAGTCAGTGGCATTTTTAAGATATGTCAAACAAAAATCATATCTGAGGTTCAAATACAGGACACAGTTGTATCCTATAACTAGCTCCTCACTGGTTCCTAATGCATCATAACTCTGCCAGTGAAGTAACTTAGCTTATACAGCAAACCCTGCCAAGATATTCCTTCATATAGCCCTATTATATGACAACAACACAACAGAAACAGGTATCGATGAGGATTTTATTAAGGGTTTATCATGTGCCAGATATGTTTCAGATGCTCTTCACAGAATATCTCAGTCAGTCATTGTAATTGGCCCATGACACAATATGTTTTGTTTCCCTTTTCACAGACAAGGAAATGAGGCCCAGGGAAATCAGATAACTTGTCTATGGTCTCAAGTTAGTGTAGGACAGAGGTAGAATTTAAACCCAAATTACTCAGAAACTTACTCTTAAATCCCGTCTGTCCTGATGGTTTCTACGACCACTTTGGATTACACACTGATATGGTTTGACTTTGTGTCCCCACCCAAATCTCATCTGAAATTGTAATTGCCAGGTGTTGAGGGAGGCACCTGGTGGGAGGTGATTGGATCATGGGGGCGCTTTCCCCCAGGCTGTTCTAGTGATGGTGAGTGAGTTCTCATGAGATCTGATGGTTTTCCAAGGGGCTCACCTCCTTCACTCTTTCCCCTCTGCTGCTAACATGTAAAGAAGGTCCTTGCTTCCCCTTTGCCTTCCGCCATGATTGTAAATTTTCTGAGGCCTCTCCAGCCATGGGGTACTGTGAGTCAACTAAACCTCTCCCCTTCATAATTTACCCATTCTTGGGTATTTCTTTATAGCAGTATGAAAACAGACTAATACACACAACTTCTCTGAATTCCTGCACTGTGTTCTGTCTCTATCACTCAGCCACTAATCTGAGTTTTCACATCCTCTTACATCTGTATTTTACCTTCTATATTAGATTTTCCTGCTTTTGAAGGACAATGTGCACATATAATGAGCAATGTGAAATGTGCTGGTGACTATTTAAAAGATCACTCATCTTCTCTATTAGGAATAATTTCTGGCTTTTTATTTTAGCCTGTTAATTATACTTAAAGAACTTACATTTAATTCTATGTGCAGTAATTGCAGCTCAAAAATTATTTATAGTTAATTCTATGATTAAATTGTTGGAATGTACATAAACAAAACTTCTATAAAACAATTTCTCATTTCAGACTTCTTATCTTTATTCACCTATCAGTTACCTGTATTACTCCTAAAGTTCAGACATTCAATCTAATGAGGGATTTTTTTACTGTTGGGAACAGGCCCCCAAATCTGGCCATAAACAAAATCTCTGCAGGACTGTGACATGCTTGTGATGGCCATGATGCCCATGCTGAAGGTTGTTGGTTTACCAGAATGAGGGCAAGGAACACCTGGCACACCCAGGGCAGAACGACACTTAAGGCGTTCCTGAACCACAAACAATAGCACGAGGAATCTGTGCCTTAAGGACATGTTCCTGCTGCAGATAACTAGCCAGAGCCCATCCCTTTGTTTCCTGTTTTAGTTAATCTATATAGAAACAATACTTATCACTGGCTTGCTGTCAATAAATACGTGGGTAAAACTCTGTTTGTGGCTCTCAGCTCTGAAGGCTCTCAGCTCCCTGATTCCCACTCCACACTCTATATTTCTGTGTGTACATCTTTAATTTCTCTAGCGCTGCTGGGTAAGGGTCTCCATGATAGAACTGGTCTCAGCATTTTACAGTTCATCTTTTATATCTTCTTTCTTCAATTTATTCAAGTCTCTTGTCCAGGAATATATTTTTTATAAATTAAATTTTTTTTCCTTTTACCAACCTCTTCCTCACTATTTTTATCATTTTTTCTCTCTGTAATTTGAGAAAGGTTCTCAAACTCATCCTCTATAAATTTTCTGATTAAACTTTCTAGAATATAGTCTGCCCCTTTTCCCCCAATTTTGTAATATTTGGGTGAAACATTCATTTCCTAACATTTGTTTTTGAAATGTCCAACTCATAAGCCAGGTATTTTTTGTCAGCTCTTTCTTTTGCTTTGTGTCATTAGTTAATATTTATTTAAAAATTTTGTCTCTTGAATCTTATATTCTTCATTTTTTGCCAAAAGAATGTATAGACTTACTGTTTTCATTATTTTTTCTTTTAAAAAATGTTTCTTAATAACAAGCAAGAGTCATGGTTTTCCTGCCAAAATAGGAAAGATGCTTCACTGTGCATAGGTAATTCTCCAACAATGAGTTTCTTTACAGAGCTGTTTAATTGCATTTCCATTACCAATCTTTCCATTTCCATTTCCATTACTAGTCTTAGAATCTAGAAGCTGGTAAGACTAAGCAGGATACTGGTTTATAGGCAGACCCAAAGTGTGAAGTGTTATCTCTGGATTTGACAAAACTGCTAGTTTATTCTTTCTAGTTTTCTGTTTGACCTGACATCAAGTCCAGGTAAGTGGTTTGACTGTGTGGGATCCTCATTCTGGTGACACTGTCCAGTGGATCACAGGCAAGCTGTACTACATCAAGATGATGTTTCCAACCAGTTCACTGTTTCCAGTGGCCATGAGTGCTCTTAGGGGATTCATCCAACTCATTGATCTAAAGTGCTTAAACGACTTCTAAGGGAGAGACACACATTTTTCTGGGTTTTTGTTGTTGTTGTTTTGTTTCTTTGGTGTTTTTTTTTTTTTTTGGCTGCTAGATCTTATACCAAGTTAGTGAATAGGGATGTGTCAAACCTCTACTGAAAGCCGATTCACCACACTTTTTCTGCCTCCATTTTGCTTGTCTGTCCTTGTCTGCATTATCTGTTGCAAACATATTTAGTGACTGCCATGCGTCCTTCACAAAATTCCACAGCTAGCATAGATACTCTTCTTTGTATACCTTTGATTGTTTTAGTCAGTATTTTGTAGGATGACATGAGATTTTTATTTTATGCATAAATCTCAGTGAATAAGATTGAGAGGGCGTGGTAAAAGATCTGGTAAGCTCTATTAGGCTGTTGGCATAAACTCCATAAAGGAAATCTAATACAGAGGGAAAGGGTAACTCAATAGACATACAGAACATGGAGAAGGGCTACTTTGAAGGAAGCATCATTAGAATATTCCAGGGGACAAGAAAGCAAATAAGCGCAGGTAGGAAAGCATCAGGAATATCAGAGAACAGGGTCTTACCAAGACTAATGGATAGAGGCAGGATTTAAGACTCTGAAGTTGGGAAGCCTAGAAACTAATGAGTTCTAAGCAAAAGTGGCTTAAAATTGGGATCTAGTTACCAAAAATTCACAGGACACAGGTCATAGCAAGTCAATTTTTCAGAATAGAACTACAAGTGACTTATTATAGAATACTGACCTAAAATACCTTGATTCTTCACAAGTAGTGTCACAATGACAATGATCGTTGAGGGAAAGAGGATAACTTAGCTTGGGGAGAGTAGTAATAGAGAGGCAAATACTGCTATTTTTCTATAATATCATCTTCTGTGATACTAGAGTCTATGTGATAAGAATCACAATTCACTGAAGAAGAGCATGTTAAAAAGAAATTGAACTTTTCTTGGTTTATCCAATAATTCATCTCTCATTTTCCAAATGCCATGAAGATTCTCATATATGATTTGTATTGTTTAAAAATTGCAGTTTTTTATTGCCCAAAGCCCTGCTATTTGCTTTTAGCATCTATATTACACAAATAGAAAGTATCCTTTATATTATATTATGTTATATCAGGAAAATGTTCTCTGTCACATAAGTGGAATTGAGTAGATGATTCAAGATGAACATAAGGTTTTTTAAAAAATTATTTGTTTTATGGATCACATTTTATTACATTTTTATTCATTTAGTAGGTACTTTTTCCATACTGTTTGAATGCACAATTCCGTATTAGTTATACATCAAATTATGAAATAATTAAAAGTTTGATGTCCAGGCTCATAAAAGCGACAATGTATCTGGAGAGAAAAAACTATGTATGAAGAATGAATATAACATAAACTAGTCTGAGAAGATTGGCAGTATCAGTACATAAAATTGCTTATACACAAATGACAACTGTAAAATTAAGACAATAAACTACCAATAACATTGTTCATGGAAAGTTTAAAAGACTAAAAACCTTTCAAAAGCTAGAAAATATTGCATTGATTGCCATAAAGAAAAACTTCCTCACTTGGAAAAATAAATGAATATATTTTCATTGCAATTTAATTGATTAGCAACAATAGAAGTTTATTGACTCACAGAAATCTCCAAGAAAGAAGAGAAAGAACTGTTATGTATATTAACATTAATTTTATTTTTTCCTATTCCTTAAGTGTAAGAACTATGATCCCATCAAATATACTTACTCTGTCATGATATTTGAATTCTCAAATTCTCAAATTCTCAAAATAACTCATATTTTGATGCAAATATTTATAATTAGATAAATAGATGAATTAAAATAAGTATTTTATAGATCACCTATCATAGCAAATGGTATATGTCTTTAAGTTATTAAGGATGATTTGTCAATATATACTAAATGAAGTAAAATAAATTTGAATGAATTTTAGAACATCCTTCTAAAATTAATATGTTGGAACCTAATACCCAATGGTATAGTACTAAAGCGGGGGCGGGGGGGTCTTTGGGGAAGTGATGAGGTCATTAGGTTTCTCCCTAATAAATGTAAAAGAGTTTGAAGGGAACATCATCATGCCTTTTTGTGTGTCTGCCTTCCACCATGCGAGAAGGCAGCAACAAGGCACCATCTTGGAAGCAGAGGGAGAGATAAATATAATAAGTGAAGGAAGTATCAGTGACACCTATATAAACATTAACAATAGAATCTGCTAGTTAAGAAAATTGGGATTTCTGAGGGAACACCTGTAAAAAGCTATTTTCATCAGCTAAGAAAAATTATTTTCAAATTATTCCTTATTTACATTCATTTTATATTATTGTTTATGGCAGTAAGAATACATTATTAATGATTGCATACATCAATAGCACAATGGAAACTAGAGGTCAAAATTAGAACCCTAGCTGGGCGCAGTGGCTCACACCTGTAATCCCAGCATTTTGGGAGGCCAAAGCGGGTGGATCACCTGAGGTCGGGAATTTGAGACCAGCCCGATCCACATGGTGAAACCCCGTTTCCAATAAAAATACAAAAGTTGGCCAGGCGTGGTGGCCCATGCCTATAATTCCAGCTATTTGGGAGGCTGAGGCAGGAGAATTGCTTGAACTCAGGAGGCGAAGGTTGCAGTGAGCTAAGATGGCGCCACTGCACTCCAGCCTGGGTGACAGAGTGAGACTTCATCTAAAACAAACAAACAAACAAAAAAATCTAAATGAGACACTAGAGTGATTACTGAATCATCAAAAATAGAATTGGTTTCAGAATAGTTTTTGTATATAGTATGTACTGATTTCTAGAAATCATGTGAAAAATATAGAACATGATATTCATTCACCAAAAAACCTGAATCAATAAGCCCAATTAAATCCAGAAATTTAATTGGGAAAACTTAATTAAAAATTAATTTGAATTTTAGGAGCAATTTCCTTTAACAGGGGATCTGTTAAATAAATTATATGCTATAGCATTCAGCCATTAAAATAAATAATGGTAATAGCAATGAGAAACATTTATTGAGAGCTTACTTTGTGTAACACAGCTTGCTAAGTGTTTTAATTGCATTACCTCGACAATTACTTATCAGTAATATTAATATTAATTATTTTATTAATGATTTTATAATAATATAAAATCTATTAAAGATATTTCAATAAATAAAAATTAATAACAAATGTGATTTTGATTGAAGATTAGATAGCATTAAATAATTATTTTGCAGCAATATGATATGGATCATAAAACATCTTCATTCCATACCAGTGGATTCTGTGCTGTTCTGAATTGTATACAGAATAAATGTACTAAGACAATTTTGTTAATTATTTTAACTTTATATTCTAAAGAAATAATCAGTTGTGTATTCCTTTACTTATAACACAAGAAAATTATTATTTATAATAAACTCATAATAAGCATTAACTACATTATATACAAACTAAAGCTGAAAAGAGTGATTACATGTCTTTCATACTCCTCAGTTTTTCAGCTTCCAAATGTTTAAATCGTTCTAGCATATTTAGGATTCATTAGATCAGATGTTGATTCCTGTTATAAATAGAAACCATTTCAAAGTATAATCGTCATCACAGAGTAAGAATTTTGGAACTTGATTCTATATAGATTTCTGTACAGAATGGTATGACCTCAGCTGGGCTGGAAGAAAGTGTACATTTAAAGCCATGTTATATCTTTCCATATCATCCTTCTTTTATGTCCATGATTACCTCTATGAAATGTCCCTTTTGCCACCTAAGAGTTCCCAACAGTGTTATTCTAATCGGCCTCATCAGCAACGCTGAAGATATATAACATCTTACACTGACTGTAAGTAGCCAAACCACATTTGTAAGTTCAGAGACAACAAATCAATGCATGATAAATAATACTGTTCCACTTCTGACTAAAAAATAGGAAGTTAAAGTATTTCTCATTATTAACAAAAAACTGAAAATGTTCTGCCTTTGAAAATAGATGTTGTTTTTTTTCATGACAGAATGTAAGTTCATCTATAGAAGGCATTGAATACATTCTTAATAAAATGTTTTTTTCCAATAATCTAACAAGGCCCTTTAAAAAATAAATGTAAGAAAAACACTTTATTTATCTGTATTCTCTACAATAAGTATTTAAAGGGTTTAATAAATCTACAGTTATTTAGAGTAGTGAGCACATCAGGAGCTAAAAGAGACTGTTCCTATAACATGGTTCATGACAGATACGCATCTGAAACCGCATTTTCAAAAATTAGAATTGAGAAAATTATGACAGTGAAAGAGATCAGACCTAACCAACTCCATCTTGCTTCTAAACTTTAAGCTGTCCTTATTCATTCCTGGGTGTAGGCCAAACTAACCTTGGGAAGGAATTTAGTTTATGGTTTGACTCTGAAACAAAACTGATCATAGCCCTTTCCCGAAAGAAAAAAAAAAAAAAATAGAACTCTTCTTGAATGGGGGCCAATGTGCCTTTGTAGGACTAACAATTTAGCTACAAGATTAGAAATTACAGTTTAGGGGCCATGCAGCCACTGGCTGCAAGAGTCTGAGTCTCTCCAAATTACTCTTGGGAGTAACATCACTGTTGTCATATCTAAGATCACTGCTTGAGATATTTTGCAGACGCTGCATTCCAGTGCACCAGCTGACACCACCAGATGGCTAATCTGGCTCAACAAGTTCTGTGATCCCACCCAGGAACAGAAAACAGCAAGAAAAACTCACTTTGACACTACTAGGATTCCATCTCCAACCAAGTTCCTACCCACTAAATTATCCTTAAAAACTCTGATCCCCAAATGCTCTGGAGACTGATTTGCGTAATGATAAAACTCCAGTCTCCCGCACAGCCAGCTCTGTGTGAATTACTCTCTCTCTATTGCAATCTCCCTGTCTTGATAAATTGGCTCTGTCTAGGCAGTGGGCAAGGTGAACCCATTGGGTGGTTACACATTTGAATAAATATGTTATAAGGTGCTGTGCATTTTCAGTGACACAGGAACAAACACAGAAAAAACTAGCAATTAATTATGATGGTGTCTCTATGTTGGTAGTTGGTAATGAGTAGGGAACAATGGGAAGAGTATAAATGAGAAAAAAAAATATGGATGAAATGTCATTTAAACTAAGTCTTGATAAATGAGTAGAACTGTAGCAAATCTGTTAATCACAAAAGCAATCCATGTTGACTGAACGTCATGGGTGAGGCCTTGAATACTCTATTAATGTATATAATTTAATTAGAGACTAGAGATTGAAGCATGTAAAGGTCAAGAAAGAAAATTAAATACTCAAATATTGGGTCTAGCTAAGGAGAATAATTTTTTTTTTTTTTTTTTTTTTTTTTTTTGAGAAGGAGAGAAGGAGTCTTGCTATTGCTGTCCAGGCTGGAGTGCAGTGGCGTGATCTCGGCTCACTGCAACCTCCACCTCCCTGGTTCAAGTGATTCTCCTGCCTCAGCCTCCCAAGTAGGTAGGATTACAGGTGCACACCACCATGCTGGGCTAATTTTTTACTTTTAGTAAAATGGGGTTTCGCCACCTTGACCAGGCTGGTCTTGAACTCCTGACCTCAGGTGATCTGCCCACCTCGGCCTCCCAAAGTGCTGGGATTACAGGCATGAGCCACCATGCCCAGACACTAAGGACAATCTTGAGTGCCAAAATAAGACATTCATAATTGATTGGATAAATAAAAAAGAGTAATATAGGAATACTGAGCAAGATACCTGGCCAGCAGAAGATGAGAAGTCTACTGGAATTTGCAAGAATGATCTTGAAAAATAATTTCAATAGTCTAATTAAGACAAAATGAAACCTTGAACTGAGGGTAACTTCTTTTTCTGAGACAGAGTCTCACTCTATATCTCTATCGCCCAGTCTAGAGGGCAGTGGCACAATTTCGGCACTGCAACCTCCACATCCTGGGTTCAAGCACTTCTCCTGTCTCAGCCTCCCAAGTAGCTGGGATTACAGGTGCTTGCCACCATTCCCAGCTAATTTTTGTATTTTTAGTAGACATGGGGTTTCGCCATGTTGACCAGGCTGGTCTTGAACTCCTGACCTCAGGTGATCTGCCCACCTCGGCCTCCCAAAGTGCTGGGATTACAGGCATGAGCCACCATGCCCGGCCACTAAGGACAATCTTGAGTGCCAAAATAAGACATTCATAATTGATTGGATAAATAAAAAAGAGTAATATAGGAATACTGAGCAAGATACCTGGCCAGCAGAAGACGAGAAGTCTACTGGAATTTGCAAGAAGGATCTTGAAAGATAATTTCAATAGTCTAATTAAGACAAAATGAAACCTTGAACTGAGGGTAACTTGTTTTGTTTTTCTGAGACAGAGTCTCACTCTATATCTCTATTGCCCAGTCTAGAGGCTTCAACCCCATGTGCTTACTTCCTAGCTCTGCTGTTTCACGTGGCTTGCTAGACAACTATCTCTTAGAACTCTGACTCCTGACTCCCAAATTGATCTTAGTATGTTTTCTAACATCACAGGAGAAAAGGGAGGGAAGGAGAGAGAAACCCAGAAAAGCAGAGGTAGATGAAGTGTGGAAAAGTAGATTACTCAGTAAAGGAAGGGTTATAGAGTATGGTGTGCCAGATATGAAATGAGGCTCAGTGGGCAAAGAAGTATATGATTTGCACCAGGGATTAAAACCCATTGAAAGTGCTACATGGTGTAAGGAGCTTAAATACAGATGCTGCTCAGTCAATGGCTTGTTTTTCATACCCCGTACACGTTGTGGGTTCCCTTCACTGTTTCCTTGGAGTTGTGAAATCCATGACTTTTTTTTTCCAAATAAAGCCTTTTATTTAATCAGGTGTTAATAATATGAGGAGAAGGAAAAGAAAAGTCTTTACTTTTCATTTTCTAATATAATTTTATCCTGAATAAAGTAAATAGATTCAAATAATCTTTGCTTAAAATTAGCTGAGACAACGCTGCACATGAATGATTTTACTGCTGATATTAATGTATTTCATCAAATTCCACCCACCACTGCACATGCATAGCATTCTGATTGTCACATCAATTTTCTGGATTAGAAATGTTTTTGGTGTGCTCTTAAAGAAAAAAGCTGGTTTAAATGTTGATTTTTTTTAACGGAAGCTTAGATGTACTGGAGTATTGACTTAATGGGGAAAAAAGCATCACTTGAAGCAAGACATGCAGTTTGTTCCATTCACCAATGCTCTGCCCACAGCTTAGATGTGACAATCCAATGAGACCCAAAGGCAATAACACTGCCTAAATTCAGGTTAAGGTACATGGGCTAGGAGATAACACCTTCTCCATTATCTTCTTCATAACCTGAATCTCAAAGGTCAGTTAATGATGGCAAACAGATCAAAAAAGAAAAAAAAGCAACAAAAACAAAACCAACAAAACAGTTTTATTGTCAACTTAAAAAATATAAGAGTTCCTGATAAGTAACAAAGAATCTGGATTTTAAAAAAGAAAGTGCATTTACCAATTTTTCTAATCTTTTTAAAGTTTTTCAATAGTTCTAAATTAAATCCCTTTCACCATTATCTCTTTATCCATCAGAAAATCCGAAGGGTATTTGGATTCAGACATCCAATGCACCAAAGATCTTTCATTACACAGCACAAACAAGCACTTTTATTGAACAAGAACCCAATTATTTAACCCAGCTTCAGGTTTCATTCTACCCTGCAGCATATACCCTGACAGAAACCTACTAATCTCTTCTGATGGACATTGTGACATATCAGTTCTGATACACAGAGATGATTCCTAACCTTCTTGTAGAGAACCAATGATTGAATAAACTGAGATGCCCATCTCAGCTTCCTTGAACCAATGAATAACAATGAGAAAAGGCACATATGGGCCCTTTTCTCCTCTGTGTAAGGCATGCTCAGAGAGGAAAAAGGAAAGGAGGTTATGCTCTGAAAAACTGACCAGCATTTACCAAAGCCCTGTGCTGGCATTGCCTAAAGTTCTTTCTAGTTTATTTCTGCACTTGAAATTACTGTCACACCCACCTCACTCATATCTTGCTAGAAGAGAATAAAATCAATTCCTCAAAGCTCTTATACCTTTGCTGCTGCCATTAGAAAAATATTTTGATAAATAATGTTAATAACTTGGCCTTTCTGTCAGTAATTCTCAACACTGAATGTGCATTAGAATAACCCAGGAACTTCTAAAGAAGACTGATCCACACCTCTGGAGATGCTGATTTAATTCATCAGTCTGGGACCTGGGCAATATTGCTTTCTAAAAGCTCTTCATATTATGGCAATAATATAGCTAAATCTTAGAAACATTGATTCATGTGATAATTATTATATTAGAATAAAGAAGAGAACATAGAGATCATTCAGTCTAGCCTGACATCAATGCTGAAATATCTTCAAGAAAAATGTCTGAAAAGTTACATAAATGAAAAAATTGTTAATCCACATGGAAGTCGATTTCTTTGGTTTTCTTTTAACATTAAATCTTTAAAAAAGGTCTCCAAGACTACAAAGTATCATATATAAGACTGCTCATGACAAAACTGTTTATATTAATGAATAAACTCAGTAATTTAATGCTCACCAGTAAGGAACTAGAACTGAATATATATATACATATACTCAGTTATATATATCAATATATATATTCAGTTATATATATCAATATATATACTCAGTTATATATATCTATATACATATATTCAGATATATATATATCAATACGTATATGTATTAGTCCATTCTCACCCTTTTGAAGGGCTATGAAGAAATACCCAAGACTGGGTAATTTATAAAGAAAAGAGGTTTAATTGACTCACAGTTCCACATGGCTGGGGAAGCGTCAGGAAACTTACAATCCTGGTGGAAGGCACCTCTTCACAGGGTGTCAAGAGAGACAAGTGCCAGCAGGGGAAATGCCAGGTGTTTATAAAACCATCAGATCTTATGAGAATCACTCACTATCACTAGAACTGCATGAGGGAAACCACCTCCAGGATTCAATTACCTCCTACCGGGTTCCTCCCATTACACGTGGGGATTATGGGATTACAATTCAAGATGAGATTTGGGTGGGAACGCAAGGCCAAACCATATCAATATCTACATGTGTGTCTCTGTCTATGTGTGTATATAAATGTAAATTATATATTTGTGTGTGTATATGTGTATGTGTGTGTGTGTGTGTGTCTGTGTCAAGGCTCAGATCAGGGAATAAGGAGAATACCTTCAGTGTAAAATAGTGTAAAATGTTTTAAGGATGTACCTTATAATATATGTATAATTATATGTATAATACCTTTTTGCAAATCTGTAAATAATGGTTTCTAAAAAGGTAAAATTAGGCTTTTATTTTTAGTTTATACCTTTCTTATTTTTATGTTTTAATCATCTGTAATAATTATTTTTTATGTATTTAAATTAGCAGAGGTTATTTGGATATTGGGATAACAAACTATTTGCGTGTCTTTTTTAATATTTTCAGTATCTTCCCAATCTTGATATGAAATCAGCTACCCATATTTTTCTTCTGAGCTACACAGAATGAAGTTATCATCTTGTATATGACAGCCTTAGCTCTTTGAAAGAACACAATATTGTTTCCCCTTGGCGGAAGAAACTCCATTTCTTCCATTCTTTTTCATAGCCCTTCAAAGTCTGTGTCTTATAAGCCTTGTATTAATGTGTTAGTATTAAAGGACATGGAAATAATTTTACAAGTTCTTGCCATTAAGAAGTTTGTGTCCTAATCATGGAAATAAAAATAAAATAATAAAAAATATCAATAATAGAAAACAGTATTTTGGGGGCAGGCATGGTGGCTCATGCCTGCAATCCCAGCACTTTAGGGGGCCGAAGCAGGTAGATCACTTGAGCCCAGGAGTTTGAGACCAGCCTGGGTAACATGGCAAAACTCTGTGTCTACAAAAAAGACAAAAATTAGCTAGGCATGGTGGTGTGTGCCTATAGTCCCAGATACTCGGGAGGCTGAGGTGGGAGGAGGGTGAGCTCAGGAAGTTGCAGCTGCAGTGACCTGAGATCTCATGACTGAACTGCAACTTGGGTGCCAGAAAGAAATCTTGTCAAGAAAAAAGGAAGGAAGGAAGGGAGGAAGGGAGGGAGGGAGGGGAAAATAATATTTTTAATATATTATTATTTATGATCAGAGGAACTGAATGCATACCGGGGAGTCTATTCTCTCAAGAGGTTGGCCATTAAACAGAAGAAGAATAAAGTTGGTAAACTGGCATGGAATATATTTATCAAAACTCACTTTTCAACTTAAAGTATTTATATGTGTTATTTTATTTTAATCTTAGAATAGCCTCAGATATTAATCACCCCACTTTATAACTGCAGGAATGGAAGTACATGATATTATGGTTTTAAGATCCTTTTCTTCTCTGAACATGTTCCAGTTCATCAATGTTGCTCTAAAATAGCCATGTCAAGAACTGGAGATATTTTCTACAGATGTTGAGATCAGCGCAGAGGCAAGGGGCACTACAGGGTCCTTTGATCTTGACACTAATACCTTTAATACTCTGGTCTCCAGTAGAGATGGTAGGAAACATTGTCATAGAAGGAGGTAGGAATGAGCAGCTAAGCCCACCTGGAAGTCAACGAAAGCTTCAGAGAGGAGACGCTGGTGGCTTGAGCTCAGATTTGAAAGACAAGAAAGAATTTTCCAGAGGGACAAACAACAGTGGCTTCATTCCAGGCAGAGAAGACAGCGCAACCAGAAATATTGTATGTTTAAGCACTATGGATGTATTCTTTGGAGCTACACAGAATAAAGCTGGGGAAAAAATGAACATGATGGACTATGGGAGACTGTGAGTCTGGGATATTAGGTTAGTGCTACAGGGATAGGAACAAAGGATCAAATAAGAGTGAAGTTAGGGAGGTAGACAGAAGACAGACCATTAGTATCTTGGGAATTTGGATTTGACCCTAGTGGCAATGGACACAAAAAAGGAATACTTCATTTTTGTTCTGAAAATTACTGGTGTATTTGCAAGAAGCTAAAAAGAACTGAAAGCATATATAATAGAGACTCTGAGCTAAAATAAAATGTCCACATAAATATCAGTAGCTTTTAAGTTGAAATGACAATTTATTACTTTTGTAATTTTTACTTGCTATTGGGAACACAGTCGAACCCTTTTGTGAGGAATGATTGCCTTTTTCATTAAGTTATGCACAATATATAAGAGTCAACCATTGCCTAATATGATTGTTTGTGGTTAGGATCACTTTCAAATTTGTTTTGACATAATATTTCTATCAGAATATTCTAAGCCAGTTAATAAAAAAGCATGGCATACTTCCATTAGAGATCATTCACTGGAAGCTGTTTATTATGATCTTTTGCTTCCAATTTCTCATCAAATGAAAGACCATAGCTTAGCTTCTCCTGAACAATTTTGAGCTTTAGCTTTTATAGCATGAATGTCTATTGCATATTCTGAAACTGGGATCTGATTGGGAACAACAGGATTCCATGGTAAGGAAAGAAAATATAAAGCCATGTATATGAGAAGAGATTTTCTCCCTCTTAGTTCTAATATTCGTTAAGATAGCATGCTGGTTTTTCTGTGATGTACAAATATTTCTCTAAAGACACTAAATTTAGGATTTTAAACAATATTCTGTCCTCTAAAATGCTTATAAATTATTTTTGGAAATTAAAAAATTATGAGGTAATAAGTAGTTTAAGACAATTACAGAACAAGGCTATTTATTTTTTATTAGGAATATAAGACCAAACTGTTTTTATGGTATCCAGTGTTAAGGATTACAATTATTAATTTTATTTGATAGAAGTCTAATTTATAACATCCATATGCAGATTAATTATTTTTGTTTCATATTATATTACCAAATTTCCCCAGCTAATAAAGCCACAGATAATGAGGCTGGCAGATGAGATTATTTTCTGGACTTTTCAAGGTCAGTATGTCAATTAAGATTACGGGCTAATTCATTAGTGCTGGGGAAAAAAATGAATATGTTGAGCTACAGAAGATTGCAAATCTGAGATATCAGGCAACTGTATTGACTTATGACAGCCTCAAGTTCTCTATTTTATTAAGTGATTTAGAGGCACAAATTACTTTTCCACTAATTTGACAGAGATGAAAACTTTGGAAAAATTTCAAAATATAACATAGACTCAAAGATTGCTGTATCATACTAATCAGTAAACCATGGTGTTTATATGTAGCCAAATTCTCTAAGTACCTAAGTTTTCTGTTTCACTTAGAGGCAGCATGAATTTGTTTAAGTAATTAATTCACGTATTTGACAAGGACTTAAAATTTACTAAATATGCACTCTGTACAAGGTTCTATGTTAGCCCCTTGGGAAGCAGAACAAAAAAGGCAGCCATAATCTTCACCCTCACATAATTTATGGAGACAGATATGAAACAATTAAGTACACACACAATTAGTTGTTAATTACATTTGGCACAAGTGCTAGAAAGGGGAAGTACTGCATGCTATCTATGTAAGCATGAAATTGTTATTATATAGTACCTTAAAAAGAAAAAAAAATGTGGTCTAAATATATTTATAGACTAATTCAGTAAGTATTTACTGAGCAACTACTATATTCCATTCATTCTGTGGGTACCAGGGATATAATGAAATCATATAGTGTAATTTGGTAAACACATATGCACAGCAAAAACAATTTTTTTAAAGCTATGGAAGCATGGATAAAAGTAGGGTAGCTTATGATATTTAAAAAGAAGCTTTCATAGATTCAACTCATTGATTTCTTTATTCAAAAGTATGTATTAAACACCAATAATATTCCTAATATGGTGCTTGGTGTTGGAGATTTATGACAATAAAATACATCCTTGTCTGTATAGAACTCACAGTTTAGAGCAGCAGTCTCAATCAGGGTCAATTTTGCCCTTTAGGGAACATTTGGCAATGTCCAGAGATATTTTTCTGTCCTAACTGAGGGCGGGTGCCATTGTTGTAGTGAATAGAGGCCAGAGGTGCTATTACATATTCTACAATGCAAAAAACAGCTCCCCACCAACAATGAATAACTATCTAACCTAAAATTTCAATAGCACCAAGGGCTGGATAAACCCTGGCAGAGAGAAACAGAGAAGTAAGTAAATAATCAATTATAATACCAAGTTATTATTGTTAAAATGGGGCTTTGTTTTAAAATACCAACAGCAAAGTAGAAGGTAGATTTGACAGTTAAAGGCAAGAAGGCAGAAAGATCACTTGGCTTGGTATTCTATTATTGCAAATTATGGTATGATGCTGGAAAGGCCTGGACTAGGGCTATCAAAAGGAAGATAAAAGGATCATGAAAAGCATATGTGAGAGGAAATTTCAGAGGCAAAATAAACATTGATTTACTGACGAATTATATCGTGAAAATTTGGGAGAAGAAAGAGTTGAAGGTCGGGTGAAGTCGCTCATGCCTCTAATTCCAGCATTTTGGGAGGCAAAGGAAGGCAGATCACTTGAACCCAGGAGTTTGAGACCAGCCTGGGCAACATAGAGAGACCCCGTCTCTACAAAAAAACATAAAAATTAGCCAGGCATGGTGGCATGAGCCTGTAGTCACAGCTATTCTAGAGGCTGAGACGGGAGGATCGCTTGAGCCCAGGAAGTGCAGGTTGCAGTGAGTCAAGATCACGCACTGGACTCCAGCCTGGGTGACAGAGTGAGACCCTGTCTCAAAAAAAAAAAGGAGTTCAAGCAGATAGAAGAGTCAATTACTACCTTAAGAGCTGTTTAGTTTAGGTAATAAACTAGTGTTAAGACCAACAAATGTAGGAATAAAGGAAAAGGAGCAAGTTTTGAGGGAAATTACTAACGACAATAAAAATTATATTGATGTGTTATAGGTCGGGCAATGCGCTAATCACAGAAAACATTGTTAAATTTGTCATAATTTTGTAGGAAAGTAATACTATTGGAAGTAAGTACTCTTATTCCCTATTTTTCAGACGTGGTAAGAGAGATTAAATAAATTATTCAAGGTAATATTGCTTCATAGTGGCAATATCTAGACTTTAACAGTTGTTTATCATTTTCTAAAGCTAAGGTCTTCAAAACTCTATGCTCTATTGCATAAACAAGGAGGAGACTGGAAAATGCAGGTGGGCTTTTCACACTCTGGAGCCAGACTGCCCTGGTTCCTTGAAAAATAGAACCCGGTGCAAACACTTGTATGCTACTGGCTATCACAGCACACATATCAGGGAAGCAGAGTCATTAGAGTAGAGAGAGCAAATATTCAATATTGTCCAGCATGTTTCCTTGTTCGACCTTGCAGGAGAGTCTGCCAAGAATCTGCAGACACTATTCTATTTCAAGATACTCCATGCAGAGGAAAAAATTAAGAATAGATACCAGCTCTGTACACCATTCATTAAATATGTGCTCCAAAGCTTTCACTCACCTGCCCTTCCAGGGTAGTCAAGTGGGCTTGAGTGGCAGCAGAGATATCCTAGGGCAAGAGGCAAGAGGGACCCAGTATGAGCAGAAGACAAGGCACTGTGGACTTGTGCCTGTGAGAATCAAGGAATGTGGTGCAATATAAGAGGCCAAGTCCCTGAGACAAGTGCAGGTGGGAAGGTATGGCATAGTGTGTAAGAAGGAGCTGATCTATCTGCTGGCTACAAGTTACCAGCTTTGTCACTTTGGGTAAGTTATGTCCTCATCTGTAATATCCTCATCTATAAAACGAGAAAATCAGACTCATGTTGTGAGGATTAAATGATTTAAAATGCATCAATCAGTTTAAACAGTACCTGCCACAACATCAGCACCAGACACAATATTTGTTATGACATCACTATCATCACCACTATTGAGAAGAGAAAAGCAGATCCTTCCACCCTGGAACTGACTGATTCTAACAGCAAATTATTGGTATTGTGAGGAGCTGGACTGCCCTTCACAGTTAAGGGCATAATGTTCTGTTACCAAATAGAAACAATCTCACAGAATACCAGGATCTGACATGGTCACCATGTGACCATGATGATGTGAAACAAAGAACATAAACAGAAACAAAATCAATTCATAACTATGTCTAAGCACAGACACACACAAGGTCACTATACAAAACACAAAATACCAAATGCATCCCCTTCCAGGCTAATAAGAGAGACTGGTTTTCTTTACCAAGTGGAGCTTTAGCTTTGGTCTATTATTCCTTTCTTCTAGGTAAGATTTATTAAGATACCCAATTATATATTTCTGTCTGCTTCCTCATAGCTTCCAATCCAGAGCCAAGCCCCATCTCCTTGAACCCTCCCCCCAAATCACATAACCCAAGCACAATCCTATAACTAGTTCTTTGTAACATCGTTTTACTAAAGGTGCCCAAAGTTCCCCATGATGTGTGCTCTCCCTCATTGCAACAATCAACACATTCAACTTGCTTAACTGTTAGGTGTATAGCTGGTGGGCTTTGGCTGAAGAGCACTGGCATCATCTTATCATCATCATCATCATCATCATCACCTCCTAAAGCCGGAGACATTAGATTAGCTACATATTTGTGAAATTTTAGCATTTAAGTTGTAGCTGAAGTCAAAGTAATAGAGGAAATTACAGAAGGAGAAAATGTCAAATGGCAGAAGTAAATTTGCCTAGGGCTAAACCAGATGGGACGCACTAGTATTGAAGGGACAGGCCAAACTAAAAGAATAAGTTACTTTTTTCAAGGGTGATTTTATGAGTAGTCATGTAAGAGAAGAAGAGAGCTCAGCTTATGGAAAGAAGGGTGTTTTAAGAATTTCGTGGTGTTCCCATGTGCTTGATTCAGAAATGTCTAAATAAGAACTAGGGAAAGCCCATTGGATTGGACAGACAGGAGGTCTGATAGCCAACACTCCAAAGAGTATTTGAGTAAATAAAAGACATATTACAACAGCCAAAGTGATGAGTGAGAGATAGGGAAATTAGTGTCTTTTAAAGTATGAATGTGAATAGGACGGGGATGGAAATTTAACTAGAGGTAAATATAGGGTTGCAGGAGAGATAACTTATGACAGGAAGAAGCAGACATCTTAGTCTGCTTTAAGAAAGCATCTGGCTAGGTGTGGTAGCTCACACCTGTAATCTCAGCACTTTGGGAGGCCAAGGCGGGTGGATGACTTGAGGTCAGTAGTTTGAGACCAGCCTGGCCAACATAGTGAAACCCCACCTCTACTAAAAATACAAAAATTAGCCGGGCGTGGTGGTGGGTGCCTATAATCCCAGCTACTCAGGAGGCTGAGGCAGGAGAATAGCTTGAACCCGGGGAGGTGGAGGTTGCGGTGAGCTGAGATCGCACCTCTGCACTCCAGCCTGGGCGACAGAGAGAGACTCCATCTCAAAAAAAAAAAAAAAAAAAAAAAGAATAGAGTGTTTCACATAAAGAGTTTAAGATTTCAGAAATAGAACAGTTGAGAAGGATAGTAAGATATATACAATGGTATAAAAATTTGGCTTTGAAGTTGAAAGAGGGCAAAGGAAAGCATTAGAGAAAAAGGATTCCAGGACCTTAGGGACTAGGAAGTGTGTGACATGTTAACAGGATACAAATTTTAAAAAACTTAAAATAGAAATGAGTTATCCATGTCCAAAAGTCATTTCTATGTATTATATTTTCACAGAGAAAATAGGATTCCTACCTTAATGTAAAAAAACAAAAAGGAAAAAGAAAATATCTTTAACATTTAATATTATAATTCAGAAAATGGTTTGGTAACAATATTATTAAACTGAAGTGGAATTTTTTTTTTTTGCCATATTTCTCATACGCTACATATAGACATGGCCTTCTGAAGAAGTTGCCACATAGATTTGCTTGTGCCCAGAGAGGCCACACATATAGGACAAAGCCTTACACATTGATTACAGGTTCTGGAAAAGAGCTGACCATAGTGCTGGTATCTGCTAATAAGAATTTAAAAATAGATTTAAAGAATCTATTTAAAAAACTATATTATCAAAAGAATAGTATATGGTTCTTGTATCACTTTTCGATGTATGAAATTCTTAATAGGAAGGGTGACTGTATAAATTTGGGGTCCCTGGTAAATATTTGGTGCTCATACTGGTTTTATTTAGCCCTTTAAAGAAATTTAGTATTCTCAGTCTTGATGAAATTTTCAAAAACAATTCATTATGCCTTTTGTTCTTCCAGAATATCTCACTTTTAGAGGTGCGTTAGTAGGCCAGAAAATTTTAAAAATATACATATTTTACTTGATACAAATAAGACTATATTCTATGTCTATGTTATTAAAAAAATCTAATTTCCAAAGAGAGAAGTTTCCGATTACATCCTTGAGAAAATATGTTTGTTAATTCTTAACATGTTTACTCTGCTATTTTTGGTAACATCATATTTAAGGTTTGCCTTTTTCTTGCTGCCAACACTGTGGGAATAATAAGAACCACTAAGATGAGATGGCAAAGAAATGCCAAAAGTACTTAAGTAGGATATTTTGGTAAAACTTGTGTTATTTGGACAATCTGACTGTGATACATAGAATTTTCTTTTACAAATTAGGTGATTTTAATGTTGTATAAAGCTAAAAAGTAGAAAAAGTCAACATTTTTGTATTATTTTTTCCTGGAATCCTCAGGCAATATTATAACTGGCTTATCTAACTCATCTCAATGAGTTTTTAATACGATATCAAAAGGTGGACCAATTCTCTCTAGTTTCTCCTGAGAATTGAAGGTAATTAAATGAAGGTACAATCCTGACTATCTCCTGAGGATAATTTTTGGCTAATTTTTGAGACTTTTTATTTCGAATTTTCCTTGACCCTATTGGACCTATGTGCCATTCTGACACTTTCTCTACTCTCCATGGGTGATTAGGATCTCTGCTTACTTATTTTGCTATCAAATATGGATAACTCTTATTTTGAACTTCCGATTTATCTGCAGGGTTGAGAGAGACTCATCAGTTTTTAACCTAGGAATATACTCTTTTATTTTCCCCCAAATTTTACTCGTATTGAGTCTATATATAAATAACGAAGCTAAGTTGTATGTTCCTAGAGAGTAAACCTTTGGTTTGGATATGTTATAGATTTCAAACTCAAGGTCCTTACTCTTGTCTCTACATTTCCACATATCTATTAGGATAATCAGAAATTATAAATGTGTCATGTGTGAGTACCTAGAACTTCGCTTCTAATTTGGCAGCCACTAGTCATATGTCTACTGAGCCCTTGAAGTGTGTGGCTAGTCAAAATTAACATGTGCTTCTAAGTATAAAATACAAAGCAGATAGTGATGTCTTAGTATGAAAACAATAATGTAAACTATCTTGTTAATTTTTACATTGATTCGATATTAGTAATATGCTAAAACATATTATTAAAATATTTTTCCTGTTTCTTTTTGCTTTTTTTTAGTGTGGCTATCACAATTTAAAATTTACGTATATGGTTGATGTTTGTGGTTCCCATTAGCATTCTACTCAAAAAAAGTTTGAAATTAGTACTGTTAGCAAATGCTGTATTCCAACTACAAGTAGATATGAAGAATGTTATAAAATCAAAGTTTTACACCTTTGGAATTACGACACAAAATATAGCTTATGTTATTATTATTATTATATCAGGGAACCTAAAATAGAACAAAGATCAAATTATATGCTTTCTTGATTCTTAGTTACCTTACTTCTCAGGTATCAAACTTCCGGGCTATTATTAAACTCTGAGTAAGGAGGAGAGAAGGAAACCCTACTACCTGCTCCAGCATTTCTCATGGGTTTTGCTTATTATTTCTCTCTAAAAGTAGCCAAGATTTTAATAGCAGTTGTTTAAAGGAATGCATTGATAAGAACCAGATTTTAAAGTATCTCAGAGTGAAACTCAGTAACTCAATAATATGGTTTTACTACTGCTTACAATATAATATGTTATTCTGCTGAAATGACATATTCAAGGTTTCTGATGCAGTATGTGGTTGAACAGAATCCCTACATCTTGTGGTTCTAGAATTCATTACACATTAAGATGGTTATGCAAAGCAGAGAATATGAAAAACCACTGGTCTTACATTTCTACTTTTCTGGTCACAAATGTGCAATGATTCCTCAAGCAACATTTTGGAAATACCTCACTGCTGAATGCAGTAAAATGATCAGCACTCCTCTGGTCATGAATAATTTATAGACAAAGTGCCATAGACCAAATATGTTGCATGATATGATTCCTAGAGCCTTTAAAAACTTGACCTATGGACTTATTATTACTGCATTTTTTTAACCATATCTTTGTGGGAGAACAGTTACTATGATGAACATGAAATCTGAGACTATTTAAATGATACTACGAAATGCTCCATAATGTTTAAGTACAACATGGAACAATTTCTCCATTTCTCCAAGTGTGATGACCAACCTTGAGATTCATGAAAACATCAGACTTCTGTTTTAAATACAGATGTTTTCAAAGCATGGTAATATTAACTTTGTAACTATGGATGACATATTATGATTTTAAAAGTTGTTGACTTTGTCCTTATATCTGTCTCTCATTTTTATTTCCTTTTAATCATCTATTATTCTCCTAAAATAAATAATTCATATTTGTTGTAACAAATTAAAAACAAATTGGAAATATCTGATTCCCTTTGATTTTGTAATAGATTAATATCAGATCTAGAATGGACCTTAAAAGTCTAGAACTTTTTCATTGCTTAGCCTTTGCTCAATCACACACATTGGTGTAATATATGTAATAGATCCTGAGCCAATTTCTACTCCTAGAGTCGTGAGGGTCTACAAGTCCTTTTTTAGGCTTTTGTGAAATTAACTTATCTGTAATGTATACCTACTGATAGTAATGTACATTGGAATTATAAAAAACAAGTGTAATCCATTTTACATGAAAATTGAAAATTTTTCTTAACTTTTAAAAATCACTCTACATTATCTCCTAGGTAACTTCATTCACAAACATTTATAAATATAGCCTAGAATATTTTTGTTTCATCGATGCTCCAGTCCTACATATTCAACCTAATTAACATCTAACACTTAGCGGTCTTAAGGATATCTCAAATTCCACACATTGGAAACTATACTTAAGATCTCTATGCACAAATCTGATAAGCAATTGCACTCAAAATGCCATCATCCTTAATACTGGTTTCCTTTTCTCTAACCATATCGTATCTATCAGCATGTCTTACCAACCTTATCTCCTGAATTTTTCTTAAAGCCACTGATTTCTCTCCAGCAATAACTAACTCTTTAGAAAAATTTCTATTATTTCTCACCCCAAGAAGGTAATGGCTTCCTAAATGATTTCCCTCCACCCATTCTTAACACCCTAGAGCACAGCAGTCAAAGTGTTTACTTAAATATGTAAATCAGATCAATGCTTAAATTTTTGCATTGTCTTTCCCTGCTATTTTTTTAAAAAAGATCAAAAGATCAAAGACTTTGATCAAAGAAAAAGATCAAAAGATTTAACAATGGCTTGCCATTTGCTACAAAGTCTGGGCTCTGCTTACCACACCCTGCTTAATTAGTTGTTCCTCCTAGTTCAGATATCAAGGAAATCCGCTATCAGGGACAAAATAGCTTTTGTCCAAAAAGCCTTCCTTGACCTTGGTGACCATAATCCTTTCCTTCATTACATCTGCTCATAACACTATGTATCTCAACTTAATAGCATTTAATGTCATAGCTCATATTAATTTTGAAAGAAGGAATTAAATAGGAAATACAAATTAACTTTTAAAATACATAAAGAAAATGCTTATATTAAGAACTAAACTGCAGGTTTTGGTGTACATTCATGTTTAACACAATCTAGGAAAGTAACAGTAATTCAAAGGTTTTAAATATGCACCCAAACCTGCAAAAACACAAAGACACCTTAAACTACTGTTGCTCCAGGCAACATAGAAAAATTAGCCTAAAAAACACTGTAATTTGTTTGGAGGAAAGGGACACTCATTTTTAAGACTACCCTTCTGATATAATCATGGTTGAAGGAAAGAAGAACATCACCCTGAGTATGGTCAGATATATTTATACAATCTTTGCTAAATTATAAACTCTACTAAGACACCAGATCTGCTTCTGTTTGCAGTGTGGCTAAGCTACACTGATGAAACTGCCTTAGGGGAAGTCACAACTTTCCCACAAAGTTGTTTTCATGAATAGATGTTTCAGTTGGATGAAAATTTAAAAAACAAAAAGAAAAAAATCCAACTTTCTGGGCACATTCTCAGATGGTCACCAGTATATCCACTTTAAAACACAGGATAATGTGGGAAACAATAAAAATAACCATCTGTTAGAATTGTCTTAGAGGGATACATTTTCTAACAGCAAAACTTCTGAGCTGACCCAACAAAATCTGAGAATGAGAGTGGCAGATGGCTCCGAGACTACATTTCAAATATTATTTTTTTCAAACCTGTAGATGTATAAGAAATTACGGCCAGGCACGGTGGCTCACACCTGTAACCCCAGCACTTTGGGAGGCCAAGGCAGGCAGATCACCTGAGGTTGAGAGTTTGAGACCAGCCTGACCAACATGGAGAAACCCTGTCTCTCCTAAAAATACAAAATTAGCCAGGCATGGTGGCGCATGCCTGTAATCCCAGCTACTCGGGAGGCCTGAGGCAGAAGAATCACTTGAACCCAAGGCGGGGGTTGCAGTGAGCGGAGATCGCACCACTGCACTCCAGCCTGGGCAACAAGAGTGAAACTCCGTCTCGAAAAAAAAAAGAAGAAATTATAAGCAGAAAATAATATACATAAACTGGCATTTGCAGCACTTATTTTTACACAATGAATGAATTCAGTCATTCTTGAAAAGTTCTGATATAGGGTTATACACACTATAAATTTGAAAATGAAATGCGCATTTGCGCCTAAGATTGATCTATTTATTGCCTTGCATTGTTGTTGGTAAAGTCAAGCAAAGGCTCCACAGTACAGTCTGTCCCTTGAGGTTAAATAGTTTCCATTTGCAGAGGTAAGCTGTTAGTGGAAGAAAACAGATTAAACAGATTTTTTAATTGAACTAATCCACTTATTTAGATGTTGATTCCTGCTTGATATTTTAGAAATTTTACTTTTTACAAGTCCAGTGGCTCAGAATCTCTTGCTTCTGTTATATATTATGAGCTTAGCAAAAGCTCTAAGTATCTGTTATGGACTTAATTGTGTCACTCACAAAATTCATATGTTGAAGCTCTAGCCCCCAGTATGACTGTATTAGGAGTCAGGGCCTGTAAAATGGTGATTAAGGCTAACGAGGTTATAAGCGTAGGGCTCTAATCCAGTAGAACTGGTGTCTTTATAAGTAGAGGAACAGACACAAGATGGCTCTCTCTCTGTGTGCCTGCACAGAGTAAAGGCCATGTGAGGACAGTGAGAAGGTGGCTTTCGAAACCCCAGGAAGAGAGACCTTAACCCTGCCAGCACCTAGATCTGGGACTTCCAGCCTCCAGAGCTATAGAAAAATTAATGACTGTTGTTGAAGCCACTTAATCTGTGATATTTTGTTATGGCAGCCTAAACTGACAAATACAGGATCTTTAGATGGTCTCAAGAGCTTTGGTTTTTTGTTTGCTTTTGGAACAGCCCCATAACAGTTTGGACAAACCTATAGTATTTTAGACTTACCTACAAAAATAATTACATGAATTTTTTTGATGTGTCAGTTATCGGAACCCTGAAAAAGTTTTTGTGTGGCCTGTTTCATGTTAAACCTATGTTAGATATGTTACCAAAATATTAATATAACAGCAAATCTGAAGCTCTAAAAAATGTTGTGGCAATACAAACTTTAACTGAAGATGCTTGCCTTAAGCTGTCTTCTCAGTGATCTATGATGACTTGTCCTTAGTAACGCTGTGGACAACTGCATGTATTATAGCTCGGACAAGGTCAAGTTTTGCAAATAGTGTCTTTACTAAGAAAAGTGACTACCAATTCACAAATTGGATATGAATACTACTTATTTTGTATTTATATTATGATTATAGTCTTCATAAAATCTGCAAGTCCTAGTAGATCTGAGTATTGAATATGGATACTAAAAAAATAAATAAATACTGAGTCCAGGCATGTATACAGGCTCACACCTGTAATCTCAGCACTTGGGGAAGCCGAGGCAGGCGGATCACCTTAGGTCAAGAGTTTGAGAACAGCCTGGCCAACGTGGTGAAACCATGTCTCTACTAAAAATACAAAAATTAGCCAGGAGTGGTGGTGGGCACTTGTAGTCCCAGCTACTCCAGAGGCTGAGGCAGGAGAATCACTTGAACCTGGGAGGCGAAGTTTGCAGTGAACTGAGGTTGTGTCACTGCCCTCCAGCCTGGGCAACAGAGAGAGAGACTCTGTCTCAAAAATAAATAAATAAATACGTACCATACATACATACATACTGAAAAGCAATAGAAAAACAAGCATATTATATAAATATGCAATTAATAAACAAAAGTCAATATGAATAATACACTTTAAAAAATGTTCATTTCTAACTTACTATAGAAGTAAAATGCAAATTAAAATGTGACATAAATTTTTGCCTATCCAGTTAGCATCTTTTAGGTTGATTTTATTTTTAACTATGAAGTGATACTTTATTATAAAAATACCCCACAGACAATTGAAATGCAAATTTGTAAAAACTTCAAAGAAAATAGCCAATATAGTGTGTATATAGACAGATCTAATTTGCAAAGACCAATTTACATATTTATAATTTTGTTTTAAAATGGAAACAAAGAACACCAACTCTAAAATCTGTAGAAATTTAAATGGATTATAGCATATTCAAAGATTAAAATATCCTATATGCAATAAAATAATCTTGCAGAATAACAACTTATAAGAAATTATCTGATTACCATATATGATATAAACTCAATTTAATTTAAAAATTGACATTTATGCAAAAGTTATACAATAAATCAAAAATACTTTCTATATTTTCTTAATTGATTCTATTTTCAAGTTTTCCAAATTTTAAAATATTCTCTAGCTTATTACTAGATTGAAATACTAGATTGAAATCTCTGAATGATGGATGATGATATGATTGAGATGTAAACTCTGAGTAATTCCCCAACTTTATTAAGTCTACTTACAAAGAGAAAAGGAAAACTGAAAATTGTAATTATGTTAAATATTTGGTCATTGCAGACACTGAAGGGTCCTGAAACTTCAATTCTTGACCCCTTCCTTTGTTTGCTTCAAAAATACATAAAAAGTCTCTAATATATAAATACCAGGAGCATAAAACAAACAGAACATTTTTCACTATGCCCCCAAACTGGGCAAATTTGATTTAAGCTCTTAGGTTCCAGGGTAAAGGACATATTCATTTGCTTACCACTTCTTTAGTGGGTGTATAGTGTCTGACATTTTCTAATTTTCTTGGTGTTAAAATTCTGTCTTCAACACTAAATAAGCAGATCTTCAAGATGTAGAACTTATGGGGTAATAACTATTCTGGGCCAGCCCAATTTAAAATCTTATTAATACAAAATTACTTGAATTAAAGAGAAAGAATAAAACACAGAATCTCACATATACACACATATCCACACACAAATATACTGCAGTCTCTAGAAATCAGTTACTTAAGACTCAGTCATCTTTAATAAATAATATTTTTTAAAGAAATCAAATCATATAATCTTGGATTTATGATAGAGCATATGATAAAAAATAATCTTTTCTGTTTCATCCATATGTTTTATTACCTACAATTCAATCTTTCTCAACCAACAGTTAAAATAATACAAAAATACAAAAATGGACAACTCTCATTCTATATTATAAGGGTACATAACATTCTAAATAAAATAGACTCTGAGGAAAAGCAAGTACTCATTCAATCTCCCTTAAAGAACACTGGATAAATGTCAGTATTTCCTCACAGTTGAGTCTCCAAGCGTCTATTTCTTTGCTTTTAATTTTAACCAGAGTCAATGTTGCCCTGTCTTCCTTTACATTTGTTTTGAAATCTTCTGCCACTTTTCTTTTCCCTTTCTTGTTGAAGTTGTCAGATTCCATATTTTCCCTTCAGTATTTCACTCAGGCTTAATGAAAATTAACCTCACAGTCAAAATAAAATGAAGCTAATGGAAGAAAAGAGGAAGGTAATAAGTTTATGAGAAAACTGATGCCATACCTAAGAAAATCAGTGTCAAAAGCTGTGATCATGTTATCGCTTGATGATACAACATCATTAACACAGCTGATATAAAGTTATCCTGAGTCTAAGTAATTGTGTCTGAGAGAAACACAGGTGTGGAGTGCATATACCACCCACTGGATTCCACTCAGAATCTCTGAAGGTCATATGTTGTCATCACATTTCAGATACCAAAATAGCAGCATCTTTGATGATAAAAGGCTGAAGCAGGAATGGAAAGCCAATTTCCTTCTTTACAATGCAGAAAGCTCACATTGAAAGGCATTTCCATTCTGATACAAATACACTTCACACATTCCAAAGATCAAGAAACATTTGAATCTCTTATATCTGGTTTAGGACAATATTTCATTTTATTCCTCTCTCTCTCTCTCTCCCTCTTTTTCTCTCCCTTCACTCCCTTCCCTGCTCCCTCCTCCTTGATGTCAGATCTCAAGCAATGATTTCAACTCCACCTTAATCCGATACCTATAAATCAATCAGATGGATTAAATGCCTGAATATCAAAGTTTTATAACAAGCTCTTTAGAAAATAGACGTCAGGATGCAACATCTACAGTATAGATATACTTTCAAGGTGGCAACCCTTTTGTCTACTCACTTTTGGTTCACGTGACTATTTTCTGTAAACCTGAAGCTGAAGAAACCAAAGAAAAACCACAAACTAAATTTAGGGCAGAGTAAAAGATGTTGTGTTTAATGTGTAACTTCCTGTAAACCACTGAAAGAAAACAGAAACCTGCATATAAAATATAATTTAAAGAAAAAACGTTACGTTCTTCTCTTCTATTTACCAGGATCTCAGAAACAGTTGCATTTTGGAATAAATAAATTAGCTTGTAAATATTTAGTATGACTAAGTTTGATATAGTACAAGCAAATTTTATTAGTTTGTATGTATTTCATTGGCTCTTTTTATTTTTAAAAAGAAGTATCTTCACTGACAATAACTGTATTTGCTGCTATGCCAGACAAGATTCTGAATCTTCTGTGTTTCTCTTTTAGTTCGTCAAGAGGAGCACATCTACCCATTCTTCAAGGCTAGACTATTCCAGGCTTCTTTAGAAACTTCCTAGGTTATATTCTAGATCTATCATGCAGTAGACAATATATGTTTTTAGTTGTTGATTTTCATATGGGGAAATATTCGTCCCCTCCCCCAAGTACATGATGACATGATTGAGATGTAAACTCTAAGTAATTCCCCAACTTTATTAAGTACATGTGACTCCCATGAAACTGATTTCATTCACAGGGCCAAGGCTGGCATGTGACTCAAGTCTGGCTGATGAGAGCCTCACACTCTTCTGGCCCCGGTGATTGGCTCTTGGATGCACAAATGACCTCATCAGAACCAATTAGACATCCTGTGCTTTTGCTGAAATTTCTCATGCAGGGATGGTCTTCTTTCCCCGCAGTATTGGACTAGTGGAGCAACCTTGCAAACACAATTACAAAGTCTGTCTATGAATGGAGCTAGTACAATACAGAACCAAGACTTGGAGATAACAATTGGATCAAGAGGGGCACTGTTTGATTCTTTGAATCAAGCAGCTAGGAAGTTCATCTGTGTTGTTGGAAGTCTCAGTTACCTGCAATTATTTTTCCCTTTTGTTTAAACCACTTTAGATTGAATTTGCTGTGCTATGCAACCAAAATACACTTAACTGACATACCTAGCCATGATCATTCTTACTTCAGATTGTCCATAGAAATGAAAACTGTACAAACTGGCATTTAATAATATATGTGCTTAAATTATTTAGTATGTTTTAAAGAATGCTTATTGTTATATCTCTGATAGGATTTAATTTCCACAAGAAACATTGCATCTTCCAGTTAGCACTGACCTCCCTATATCCTGCTATGCTATCGTAAGTATAACTATAATGCACAGGAACAAAAACAATTTTTACTGAGGCAAAATTCTGCTAAAGATCCTACTAACCTGACTTCCTCACTTGAATTGTAATAGTAACAGAAAGAAGAAAAGTGGTTACCCTGTTCAGATATCCTTTTAGTTTAATGATTGGATGGATTATTTAGAAATGAATTTTATCATAATGCAATCCATTTGACCAAGAATAACAAGTACATAACAAGACACTGCATTTATCATGTTATTTATTTAAGCATAATTATTTAGAAATTAATAATAAGCAATAGGTTTTGGATGTAACTTTTCAATACCATAAACATTGGCAGTCCTTATGCAGGTTTTTCTAAGGAATGTTTCTGGCTGATCTATCAGGACCAAAATATCTTTGTATCATCTTCTTTGTTCTATTCTGTTACTCTGGGTATCATCATTATTTATGCTAGTCTGTGTTGAGATGTTATTTCCATGCATTTGGTTTAAATTATTAATTGCATAAATATCTATCTGCAACTATAATTTGTCAAAGTAGACTGTTAGGTAATTTTTATCAATGGTTTTAAACATTTTTCTAACACTTTCTGATAAATGTCTATCTCAGCTAATGATTACCACTTAGGATTTTTTTTCTACTTTTATGGTGGCTAAGGTATCCTAAGTCTTTCTTTATCTCTCTATCTCTCTCTCCCACGTGTGTGTTTGAAGCTTTGCTTCAATTGCTTTGTTTCAATTGCTTCAGTGATGTGACTTTATATCAGCCACACAATTTTACTAAAAGAATCTTTTCCCCCTGGACAAGCACAGTTCCTATATTAAGTAAAAAAAAAAGAAAAAAGAAAAAAAAAATCCTTGATATCCAGTTATTTTCCATTTATTACCTAGAGCATTTTTCTTGGTTGAAAGTTGCAAGAATTTTATTTTCATTTAAGTGCCGTAAGATTTGTATGTTACCAGAGTCTTGCATTTAAGATGCACCAGATGATTATATGTTGACAGTTAAAAAAATGTTGACTGAGAAAAAGAAAGGACATCATTCATTTTCCCCTCTTGGTTTCCTAAGAAAAAATTGTGGCATTCAACATAAGTCCTATTATAAGAAGTGTGCTAAGTTTAGAACTCTCTATTAGCTGAAATAAGAGTTTCTAGGCTGAAGATCAGTAATTCAGTAAATTACTAAATTTAATTGAATGCATGTGTCAACACCTAATTAAGGTCATCAACTCAACAAGAATTATGCTACCATCTTCATTGTGTTATTAACAACCTCTCAAAGAGCTGCTCTTCAGTCTAAAGGTTCTGCACTGAATCCATTCTTTGAATACAGTTCCTAATCCAAGATTAATTTATTCAAACTTTACTTTTGTGTAAAACCTATTGACTTCATACACGCTTTAGTGAGACTATTGGAACTCAGTGTCTCTGCAAAGCTGAAGTGGAATAGGACTGAATTTTAATATAAGAACAATTTATTAGGACATGTGAACAATCAGCTTCTTTATTTGTATTTTGGTTTACCAACTTGCTTAATGAAACTATTTTCTCCTGAAAATCAATCTGCCACAAGGTTTTATTATGTATCTGTTATATACACCACAGTATATTACATAAATATTTTAAGTTTTGATGGCCTATTCTTTTGAGGAATTTTCAATATCACTAAACTATTTAAATATCTCTAAGGGATATAATAATATCTCAAATATTTAAGTATCTCAATGGGATATAATAATTTTATTTGATCAAGTTCTTATTTGCTATAGTAAGAAAAATGGAAATGTTTATGAAGGCTGAGGTAATGATTCGTAGAGGTAGAATTTGAAATTATAAGATAGGTAAGCAACACTGTATAAAGGGAATTGAATTAGAGCAAATTGGAACTGGTCACAAAAATTAAGATATCAAGACCACATCATCAGGGACCAGTCAGGAGACTACCCTTATAAAACACAGGGTATATGCTGGAAACTTATGTGGCATTTTAGAGAGATGAATAATATAGGAGATTAAAATCCACAAATGTGGCACATATACACCATGGAATACTATGCAGCCATAGAAAATGATGAGTTCATGTCCTTTGTAGGGACATGGATGAAATTGGAAATCATCATTCTCAGTAAACTATCACAAGAACAAAAAACCAAACACCGCATATTCTCACTCATAGGTGGGAACTGAACAATGAGAACACATGGACACAGGAAGGGGAACATCACACTCTGGGGACTGTTGTGGGGTGGGGGGACGGGGGAGGGATAGCATTGGGAGATATACCTAATGCTCAATGACGAGTTAATGGATGCAGCGCACCAGCATGGCACATGTATACATATGTAACTAACCTGCACATTGTGCACATATACCCTAAAACTTAAAGTATAATAATAATAATAATAATAATAATAAATCCATACTGGTATTTTTTTTTTTAAGACAGCATCTTATTCTGTTATCCAGGCTGGAGTGCAATGGGGTGATCTCAGTTCACTGCAACCACCATCTCCTGGGCTCAGGCAATCCTCCCACCTCAGCCTCCTGAGTAGCTGGGACTACAGGCGTGTGCCACCACACCCAGCTAATTTTTTGTACTTTTTGTAGAGAGAGGTCTATTTTGTCCAGGCTTGTCTCCAACTCCTGGGCTCAAGCAATCTGCCCACCTCAGGCTCCCAAACTGCTGGGATTACAGGTGTAAGCCACCACACCCAGCCATATACAGGTATTTTAAAATGTTAGTTTACAGGTAGTAGATTTGTAGAAATAAAGGCTATGTCAAACATTATATATACTTGGAAGTTTCTTCTGAAACTCGATAGTCTAGTTATCGATCATTACTATCATCACTGCTCTTCTAAAATCTTGAAGTTAATAATGTTATTAACTAGCAAGAATTTAGAGAGAAAATAATAATAAAAAGTTTAAACTTTAGGTAAAAACCATAGTTACAAAGAAAAAAAAAAAGAAATACCAAGGTAGGCAAAGAGGGAGCAGATAAATAGAGAAACACCAGATTCTAGAGTTTCATGCAAACAAGGTGGGGCAGTATGTTTCTTCTCTTTGTTTTTTTCTTGAATGAGAATGCACATGTATGACTTTCTCACCACTGTAATTTTTATTCCATAGTTCTTAATAGACAAGCTAACCTACAATTACCAAAGAATGAACAGAATAGCTCTTGAGACTGCAGGGCACTGAAAACACATTTACACTTAAAGGGAGGTGATTAGTTGGTAGAATGTGTTTGAAAGGCTACAAATCCCATACAATAAATATCAATCATCTCATTCAGGGGTTGTTATTCATCACTGACCAAAAACACAGTCAATTCATTAAATCATCTTTCAAGTTTTAGAACTGTGCTAGGGGAGTTACTGGGGAAGTTTTCATAATGTCAGCTCCCATGGATTGGTAGAGACACAAAACGTGGTCAAATATAATTGAATGAAGTCTCTTGGAAATAGTTAATATCAAACAGCAATCTCTTGATACAAAATAATTTGGTTTGGAGAGTCAAAGCTATATTAAAGAAGCATTTTTTGAGTTTATTATCCAAGGAGCACTGAGGTAGACATAAACGTACACAAAAATAAAACAGTTGCTTCAGTCAAGCTCACCATTTAGTAAGAATAATAAATAGGAAACATTAAGACAAATACCACTGATATACTACGATTAGTGGTAAAACATTCTGAAAAGATAGAGGGGAAAGTCACTGGAAAGGTGAAAAAAGGCAAAAGGCAAGTTTATAATTGAGTTGGATCTTAAACAGGAAGAGTTGGGGGGTTATGGTGTTTGTTTATTTTTGTTTGTTTGTTTTTCTGGCTGAAAAGGAGAAGTTCATGATAGGCAAAGAGAACACGTGCTAAGTTAAGGCAAGGTGACGCCATTTTATGTTTCAGCAACACCAAGTTGCTCTATGAGGCTGAAATTTAGACACTCAAAAAGGGGACTAATGTGAAGGCTGCTCTACTTGAAACAGTCACCATCAACTCGGAAAATCCAGAGTTTCAAAAAACTACACTTGTCCTGCTATTTAGGCCCCTGTTTGGATATTATAATTCCATTGAGATCTTCCCTGAAAGTAAGTTCCTACCTTCATCTTCAGTCCTATCACATCACCTTATTTCACTTTTATCCCATTTTTCTTTGACCACAAAACTTATGACTGCCTGTTTTTGTTATTTGTGTCCTTATTTATGGTTTGTGGATTTTTTCTAAGAATATAACTTCCCTAAGAGCAAAGCCCACATCATTGTACTCTGGAATATTCTGAAGGATAACCTAGGCATGTGTTTTATATGTATGTAAGAGCAACTGATGAACACACAAAATTTTAGCCATCATATATTCATCCTTATTTAGGACAATGACTGATTTTAAAGTAAGCAAATAAGTAATCCTAAAATCAACAATAAAAACTTAACTAATGAAAGAAATAATGATTCCCTAAAGATTGCAGTCTCATTCACCAGGGTCTAATTTTCAATAAAAATGTATACCTGGATTACTTCCTCAAAAAGAATAAAAAGAATAAAACTCAAAAACTAGTGCATTTATTTTCAGGACTAACAGAAAAGATAAAGAAGCTTGAAGAAAATGAAAGTTGTTAACAGTGAAAGCAAAAAAGATTTGATGCTGAAAGCTTAAATTCCAAATTCTCTTTTCAAGTTTCTAGAAAATTGGGTATTCACTAACTTCTAAATGGATCAAATAACTTTTCTTTATGAGGAGAAATAACATTCAGTTCTTTTCCTATCAACCCTAATCCCCTGTAATATAAATCACGTAATTAGGCCACCAGAAAACTAGAAGTTCCTTTAGTATCTACCTTTACAGTTCTGTAATTGTTTTTCAAGAGTGATTCTGCAAAGAGATTTTTTTTCCCCCAGTGTGTGATGGCTTTAAAAAATGTCTGCAAATTCTTTGACATTTCATCAAGAAAAAATAGAGTCCATGTTACCTTCTCCCCCTGAATACCAGTGGGCTGGTGATTTGCTTGTTAACTAAAAAGATCAGGTGGAAGTGATATTGTGTCATTTCTGAGGCTAGGTAATAAAATTCAATGTGGCTTCTATCTTACTCACTAAAACACTCTGAATTGTCATGTAAGGAAGCCATGCTCTTAGGAAGCCCAAGACACGTGAAGAATTTACATGCAGATCTACCATCCAAAGTCCAAGTTTAGTTTAAATTTGACAGCTAGAATGCATTGCTCAATGATTTGTGAAGATACTTCCAGGTGATACTGGTCACCTGCCCTCAAATGTTGAGTTTCTTCAGCTGAGACCCTATCACTGAACACAGAAAATCTATTTCTGCTGTGACCTTTCCAAATTCTTAAACTGCAGAATCAGTGAGTGTAACATAATTGTGGTTCTAACCCACTGAATACTGGAGTGATTATTATGCAGTAATAGTAATTACTATGCAAAGATTACAGATATGCTGTATCAGCATGAACAAATATTCATATAAGCATGGAGTGGAAAATAGATAATCCTTCAAGACAGACCTCTAACACAAAAAGCCTATTATCAAATAACCAATTACTCATTGTTAAAAAGGACACCACTTAGCCTGCAAGAACACTACCATTTAGATATTCTACACAATATTTACCAGATAAAATATTATAGTATTCTATCATGCCAAGTACTCTTTAGAAGCTGAAAGTACTTAAGGACTTTAGCTAAAACCAGATTTGTGTTTTCTACTTGTACTAAACTGGTAATTGTCAACTGGTATCCCTGTTAATCTTTTAAGGCTTTACATCTAAGTATTTCTGCCTTTAAAACATGCCTCTATGTGTGGGAAAGGGCTGTTTAAAACAAACAAGCAAGCAATCAAATGAAAACAACAGAAGGTAACCTCTTTTTCATCAGAACTCTTTCAGCCTAGAGAATGTTTTTCTGCCAATCTATATTGCTGGTTGACTTCCTTAGACCAAATTATTTGAGCAAAGGTTTCTTAAAACTTAGCCCAAGGGTGGTCCCTAAAAAAGATAGATAAGTTTAAGTGTAGCTTCCACATAGTAGTAAATAATAAAAAATTACCTGCTCAGCCGGGCGTGGTGGCTCATGCCTGTAATCCCAGCACTTTGGGAGGCCAGGGTGGCTGGATCACCTGAGGTCAGGAGTTCAAGACCAGCCTAACCAACATGGAAGAAGCCTGTCTCTACTAAAAATACAAAATTAGCCGGGCTTGGTGGCGCATGCCTGTAATTCCAGCTACTCAGGAGGCTGAGGCAGGAGAATTGCTTGAACCTGGGAGGCAGAGGTTGCCGTGAGCCGAGATCGTGCCATTGCACTCCAGCCTGGGGAACAAGAGTGAAACAGTATCCCCCCCCCAAAAAAAAAAATTGCCTGCTCAACTTAGTATATAGTTTGTTATTCTAGATGATATTCCAAGTTTGCCAACAAATCAAAATCTTTTCTCTAACAAACAGAAAGCAAAAATTGCCAGATTTCAATGATTATTTTGTGTTAGCATGTCATTCTCAAACATCTATAGATAATAGTTTCGGCCGGGCGCTGTGGCTTATGCCTTAATCCCAGTACTTCGGGAGGCTGAGGCGGGCGGATCACGAGGTCAGGAGATTGAGACCATCCTGGCTAAAACAGTGGAGGCTGAGGCAGGAGAATGGCGTGAACCTGGGAGGCAGAGTTTGCAGTGAGCTGAGATTGTGCCACTGCACTCCAGCCTGGGCGATAGAGCAAGACTCAGTCTCAAAAATAAATAAATAAATAAATAAATAAATAAATAAATAAATAAATAGATAATCGTTTCAACATCATATAATCTCAATATTATTTTGTCTTCAGTAACTTCTATTTGGATTTTCTCATCTAAATGTGAAAACATATCATCTTTCATGAGCATTTAATGTATTTAAACAACTAGGTTGTAAATTCTATACAATACATTTAAGGGGGCATTGGCAATTCTATAGTGCTGACGAACAGAAATACAATATGAATCCCAAGCAAGAGCTGCATAAAGAATTTTAAAATGTTTAGCCACATTTCAAAAAGGAAAAAAGAAATAGGTGAAATTAATTTTAAAATATACCTAATCTAACCTAATATGTCAAAATATCATTTCAACCTATAATTAATAAAAATAAATATTTTAATTTTGTGTTATACTAAGCTTTTGAAAGACAAGTGTTTGTATTATACTTATAACATATCTCAATGTCATCTAGGCTTGTTTCCTTTGTGTGTGTGTGTACATTTAGCGGGGTTCAAGGGCAATTTAAGGGGTTTAAGTGTTACATGAATATATCACATAGTGGTAAAGCCTGGAATTTTAGTGTAACCATCACCTGAATAATGCTCGTTGTACTCATCAAGTAATTTTTTCAGGACTCACCTCCCTCCTTGCCTTCTCACTCTTCCTAGTATGCAGTGTCTTCTATTCCACACTCAGTGTTTATGTGTACACATTATATAGCTGCTGCTTATCAGTAAGAACATGCAGTATTTGGCTTTCTGTTTCTGAGTTATTTCACTTAAGATAATGGCCTCCTGTTTCATCTATGCTGTTGCAAAAGATTGACTGCATCCTTTTTTATGGCTGAGTAGTATTTCATTGTATATATTTACCACATTTACTTTATCCCATCACCCACTGAGGGACACTTAGGTTGATTCCATCTATGTCTGCTATTGTAAATAGTACTAAGAGAAACATACTAGTGCAGGTATTTTTTTAATATAATGATTTCTTCTCTTTTGGGTGCATACCCAGGAGGGGGATTGCTGGATCAAATGGTTGTTCTATTTTTAATTGAGAAATCTCCATACTGTTTTGCATAAAAGTCACACTAATTTACACTCCCACAAACAGCATATAAGTGTTCTTTTGGTCTTTCTCACCAACATCTGTTTTTTGGGTTTTGTTTTGTTTTGTTTACATTTTAGTAATAGCCATTCTGACTAGTATGAGATAAGTATCTCATTTTGGTTTTAATTTGTATTTCTCTAATGATCAGTGACGCTGAACTTTTATTTTCCATATGCTTCTTGGCCATTTCTATGTCTTCTTTTGAAAAATGTCTGTTCATGTGCTTTTGACCACTTTTTATGGGGTTATTTATTTATTTTTGTTGTTGTTGGGTTGCTTGAGTTCCTTGCAAATTCTGGATATTAGTCCCTTGTGGGATGCATAACTTGCAAATATTTTTTTCTCATTCTGTAAGTTTTCTGTTCACTCTGTTGATTATTTCTTTCGCTGTACAGAAACTTTTTAATTTAAGTCTCATTTGTCTATGTTCGTTAAAGCGCACATGTGACTAGTAGTCAACCATGGTGAATAGTGCAACTACAGAAGATCATCTACTGTGGAGCTAATCTCAGGATTGGGGCATTTTGATCTGCTTTATTTTTTCCCTTTATAGCAAGGCTCTAATTCTTTCAAATACTTCAAATAATAAGTAAACTTATTTGAATTTGATTCGTTTAAGTAAACCTATTTGAATTTGATTCTTTTAGGAAAATTTTAAAAAGATTTATTATTTGAAATAACCTTTCATTTCTTCCTTTTAGTTTTAATAACAAATGTCTGTATGCTACTCAAAATCAACATGCAGGTTTAATCAGTTTACCAAAAATTGATAAAGGACTCTGTGTAACAAATTAATGATTCTTTTGGCTTAAATATAAGTTACTTAAAGAAACCTTTCTGACCACCTTCTCTTATTGTCTCCAGCTATATCCCATTAGCCACTCCATCATGAAATCCTGCTTAATTTTTTTCATGATTCATAAACCTATTTGAAAACGTGTTATTACCTAAATCAGTTTATCTGTTTATTGTTTATCTCTGTAAATATAATACAGGCTATCTGAGAGCACATAGATTTATTTCATAAGCACTAATGCTGTTCATTTTCTAGAAGAGGACCTACCACGTTGGAGGTGCTCAAAAATATTTATTAATTAAATTAATAAATATCTTCATTACATTGTAAAAATATAGACACTCTTCAATTTAATTTATACCAAGAAAACCAGCTGAAATATTGTTTAGAAAGTTTCATCTGAGAGTCACAGTCTTCTCAGACTTTGTCAAGAAAGCAATGCAATTTTTATTGTGGCTCATATGGCAGAATGTCCATCTCTTTAATAGTAAGAAATTCAGAAATGAAGAACTTCATATTTGTGCATCTAGGATAAAAGAAAAGCTTATTTCTTTCCAAATATCATCTACAGTCTTGCTAATACAAAGCTATTAATTCAACATACAAACATGTTTCTTTCTTATTATTGAAAAAGCCTCTCAAATTTAATTAAAGTCAATAAAGAAATTAAAAGCTTAATGAGAGCAAGAATCCTCTGAGTGTGTTCATGCTGTTATCAGACTGTGATGTTGTAAAAGGTAGGATTATGATTTTACTGCCTGGGCGACCAAGAATAGAGGAAAGGATGAGGAGAAGAATTTTGAAAAGTCTCCTGGTGAGGAAAATCTCAGAGTGGAAAACTGTGGTGCTTAATGAAGTCAATGGAGAAATTCAATACCAAAGGGCTAGCTTGTGAGCATCACCACCTATTATTTGAAGCTAAGACTGACAAATAATTTGAGAGGTGTTTAAACAAGATTCCTACTCAACATGAAACTTGATGGGAACCTCTGGGAGTATGTCCACTATCTCTTCCCAAGTCATCTCTCAATGATTGGAATTGGGCTGGGTCAGATCATAAGTAATATTTATTTTTATTTCACTTAAAAAAAAAAAAAGAAAAACAATCAGCTGGGCATGGTGGCTCACGCCTGTAATCCCAGCACTTTGGGAGGCCGAGGCAGGCAGATCACGAGATCAGGAATTCAGGACCGGCCTGGCCAATATAGTGAAACCCTGTCTCTACTAAAAATACAAAAATTAGCCGGGTGTGGTGGCATGTGCCTGTAATCCCAGCTACTCAGGAGCCTGAGGCAGGAGAATTGCTTGAAACCAGGAGGCAGAGGTTGCAGTGAGTTGAGACCATGCCATTGCATTCCAGCCTGGGTGACAGAGTGAGGCTCCATCTCAAATAATAATAATAAATAAAAAAGAATATTTCCTGAACTAGAAAGTCAGGATAAACTTCCAGTCTTTTGCACTTAGAGTAAGATTCCCCCTGTTCTCCTAGTATTGAAAGCTTAAGCAATAGTGGTCAAGAGAGAGATATGTGGGTATAATACTCAACTAATTCTGGCCTCCACATCTCCCTCAGAAGGAGTGAAGAGGCTCCCCTAGACACTCACATTCTCTCACCACTTCTACCTCCATGATACCACTATGCCTACATCCTTTGTTCTGGTCTATTTCAAATCCCCATAAGAAGCCACTGACTTCATCTCTCATTTTCCTCATTTTTACCTGCTTAGGCTGCACATCCCTGTTTAGTCCCCATTTGCAAGTCTTCCACAGTTCCTGAAACCCCTCCACTGTGCTCTGTGGAACTTGCCATGCAGCATCCTCAAACTTTAATGTTCTCTTCATCATCTTGCTCAAAAAACCCTGGGTCTTCTCTGAGGACAGTGCTTTCCCAGGGGAGCATCGTGTGTTTTCTCTCTCTTTCTCACGCCACGGGGCCTGGTAGTGGACTCCGTGTCCTTCTTATGCCTCATCTCCAGTTCTAAACTCTTCCCTCTGCCTCCTCTAGACAATGCTCTACTGAAGAAATGACCAGCCCAAACCAGCCCTTATTGCAATCAGCTACTGTGCCCCAAGTAACTCCTCCTCATTTCTTAAAGAGTTTGGTTTCTGTGTCACTGTTACTCTCTCCAAGACAACGTCAGTCTTAAATCTTGGTGATATCAATTTATACCAAGATGATTCTGCCAAATTTCTCTCTTCCCAGTACTTTGGAATCTTCTCCTCCCATGATGCTGTCCTCCACCATCTCTCAGACACAATTCCCATGGTCATACACGTTACAGTGACCTCTCCATATTTACAGCTTCAAGCATCCCACTTTCTCATCACTTGTAGAATTCTCTCTTTACATCTTACTTGCTTCAGGACCTCAACACCAACAGTTCTTTCTACACATACAATCCCACCAGCTCTTCTATTCATTTTCTCACCCTCATTTTATACTTGCCCAATTTAAATTCCACAATTAATCATATAATCACAAACTTGGATACTCCCTCAGCTCTCTTGTCTCTTGATTCATTATATTCACTAGAGAAAACCATAAATCTAGTGAAATGCAATTTTCCACCAACTCTACACTTGGGCCCATGCAGCTGAATATGGCTAGGGAAAAAATTAAAAAATAAAAATATGTTGACTACTCTCATATTAAATGCTTGGACAGGAACCTCAGTTGATGTCTTTATATGGCCTGGTGCTTGTGTTAAGTTTGCCACCCTTACAGACAACTGTATGATGCTTTTCCTTTCTTCAAACCTTCAATATCTCTCAATTTCACACTCAGTTGACAACCTCATTTCTCTTTTCATGAGAAAATCAAATAAACTAGAATGGTGCTCTTAAAACTCCTACTGTTTTACAAACTTCTGCACCTCAATTATATAAATGAAATGCATCTTATTTCATTTATCCCAGTGACATTTTGTTGTCTTCCATCCCAATTATATAAATGAAATGTCCACAGTTCCATCTACAGTCATCACATTGGAACTAGAGATCCCATGACTTCTTACCTAGTGAGGGATGTCGTTCTCCCTTATCATCAGATTTATCCTCTCCACCAGATTACTCCCATTCCCAACCGCCACCCCCAACAACTACTACTTCCTTTATTTCCTCTCCTTTATAGGAAAAAATACTTTGAAACAATCTTCTGGTGCACACTGCTTTCAATTTTCCTCTTCTCATTCTCTCGTAAGTCCACTTTCATCCCCACAAATGACAGTTCTCTGGACTCATATTACCCAACCCAAGGACAGCAGGTGAGACATTTGGCAACTTTCTCTTTCTTAAAGCATTTTCTTCATTTAATGCTCAGGTTATTTTTCTACCTCAGTACCCTCGCTGGAGTATCCCAGGCTTCATTTCTTACATCTCTTCATTTCTATTTCTGATCTGTTCCCTTGGTGACGTCACCTCGCTTTATGACTTTAAATCTTAATTCAGATATCCAAGTGCTTAGAAAACATCTCCACTTGGATGTTTAATTGGCATCTCAAAGTTAACACATGCAAAGCTGATTTCTGATCTTCCTACCAAATGTACTTCATCTATGTCTTCCAAATTTCAGTGAAGATTGCTCTGTTCTTTTGGTTGTTAATACCAGAAAACTTGGAGTCATTCTTAATTCCTTCATCTTATATCCCTCATCTAATTCATAAGCTAATCATGTGGGGTTAAACTTCAAATTGTATCCAGATTCTGACCACTTTCCACCATTTGCACTGTCACTGTCCTGCTCCAAACTCTAGATAACTTTAATTGCTTCCTGACTGGTCCTTACTTCAACCTGTGCATTCACTCTTTGGTGTACTCTCAACAAAACAGCCAACGTAATTCCACTAAAATTCAAGCAACATTTTATAATCTCTACACTTAAAATTCTCTACTATTTCCCCATTTTATTCAGACTAACTTACTGAGCACTCCAAGACCCATATGAGGTAAGTTCAAATATTGAAGCTGACCCAACAGTCTTACAGATAATTTTTTGAATGAACATGGAAATTGACCTTTCAGGTCTTAAAGCTTGAACTTTATGTTTGTTTTATCTAGTTTCTTCCTCAGGAAATGACCTTCAGGCATCAGAAAAAAGGTATCAACGAATTGAAACTCACCAGATTACCACATCCAGAAAATGAAATGTTGACCCCTCATTCATCATGATTGCTTCCTTGCCTTTCCCTAATTCCTGTTGTTTTTTTTTTTTTTGTCTTTTTTGTTTTGTTTTGTTTTGTTTTACACATTTGCTGCATTTCTTCCTTGCTATATAAATTTCTAGTTTTAGTCAGTCCAGGAGATGGATTTGAGAATCATCTCCCATCGCTTTGGTTTAGCACCTGATTAAAGCTTCTTCCTTGGCAATACTCATTGTCTCAGTCATTGGCTTTCTGTGCAGCAAGTAGCAGGACCTAGACAAAACCCCTGGTGTTTCAGTAACATTAGTACCATTTTACAGACTAGGAAGCAAAAATTAAACAATGACAGTAAAAAGGTTACTGGCTGGTAAGTGGTTGTAATAAGATTCAATCTTAGGGGTCCTGGCTTAAGAGTCCATATTTGCAGCCATTATGATTCACTAACAAAAGCAGTTTACCTAAATTAAGCAATAAAACCCTAAATCCTTTCCATGTCTGGTTCTGTGGCTTATCTTAAGACCTCTTCTCCTATAAGCCTCCCCTTTGCCTATTCCTCCAGTCACACTAGCCCATTACTATTCCTTGAACTGTTCAGTCAGACTAAAATCCAAACAGTTCCCTCACCTACATCAAACTTTCCTTGCTTCTCTGTTTACATCCACTTGGCGCTCCAAGTTTTCTGTTCTTCCAGTTGCTGATTTCTTGGTCATTCTTTAATATATGCTATCTTCTTCCTGCTATGACACTATTCTCATTGTTCATTTAGTAAATGATTTCGAAGTGGTGGGGTGGCCAGTGCTGTCCAGCAAGGCTCTGGCTCCACAAAGTCAGGGATTCAAACAATTCATTTCTAAGACAGACAGATTGAGATTTTCCAGTCTTTCAAAGTCCTAGCTCCTTTCCGTCTGAGAGTCTTTGCATTTGCTGTTGCTTCTGCCTGGAATATTCTAGTTCCTGGGATGTTTTTGCATTGCTGGCTCCAGCTCAGCATTCATGTCTCTGCTCATATATGGCCCCTTGGGAAGATTTCTCTGGCCACTCTAGCTAATGTAGACACCACCCTGTTCTGTTAACCACTCTATCCTATCACTATTTCACTTTCTTCACAGCAAAATATTTCGCAATTTTTAATTTATTTACCTGTGCATGGATTAACTTCCCCCACTGGACTATGAGCTGTATTAGCAATGACTTCATTCTCTTTGATTTCCACCGCTTAGATCAGAGCCATCACAAAGAAAGCGAAAGATGAATATTTCTTAAATGTATGAATAAATCCTTATTTTTGTCTGACTTGATTCCAATAAGTATAAAAATAGCAAGCAGTATGGAAACTTCTGAATTTTATCTAAATTTCAGAATTTGGTAGAGAGATATTTAAGTTTTTTCTACTATAATTGGTATGTGTATATATTATGGTCTATTTCCAATTTATCTTTGGATATAAATAAGACATGTACAATTTTAGCAATTCTTACAAGACTCAACACATATAGTCTTTTCTTTTAGTCTCCTAGTCTTAGCCATCAATAGCATGGAATTTCTATGATAGAGCAGTATTTTATGGCTGGTACATATATACACATACATACAGTTTTATATATATATAGATATATATACACACACACACAGACATAAATACATGTACACACACAGCTCTTCATGTCTGTGTATATATGTAATTATTCTTTTGGTTTATTTAGAACACTACTCTCTTGCCTGGCCAGGCACAGTGGCTCACACCTATAATCCCAGCACTTTGGGAGGCCAAGGTGGGCAGATTACCTAAGGTCAGGAGTTCAAGACCAGCCTGGCCAACATGGAGAAACTCCATCTCTACTAAAAGTACAAAAATTAGGTGGGCATGGTGGTGGGTGCCTGTAATCCCAGCTACCCAGGAGGTTGAGGCAGGAGAATTGCTTGAACCCAGGAGGCAGAGGTTGCGGTGTCTGAGATCGTTCCATTGCACTCCAGCCTGGGTGACAACAGCGAGACTCCGTCTCAAAACAAAACAAAACAACCCACTCTCTTTCCCTATGGTTATTTGGCAGAATGCTGTTTTCCTTAGAGTTCAAGTTTAGATGAGTAGAGGCAAGTTGCCAGGCCAGCAAATACACCTCATGAGAGAAATGCAGCTTATTAATAAATGCTATAAAACACACCCTGACACTTTGTCATGTCATGCCGTAGCAAATTAGGAGAGTGTCCTTAGTTCTTAAGGGAGATATTGCAGCTCTGATCATTTAGAAGTTCATCTATGAATATAAACCTGGTACTGCCTGCAATATGTATCAGCGGCAAAATAAGCCAACAGTTAATGCTTAGCACATAAAATTTTTGAGTAAAAATTCAAAGGAATGTATGAATGTAGTCCTTATAAGAAGAAAAAAATATTGCAGAAGAAGACAGCATAATGAGAAAAGTGGACATTTCTTAGATAAATAAGATGAGGCTATCAATTTCAGAGATATACCAGCCATAATGAAAATAATGATAGTAAGGATGCTTATATGCATCAATTAAAAAGTTACTTAACTTCCTTTTAACTTAAGTTTTCTTCTTGTTTTGATTCAATTACTCTTGTGATTGAGGGCCCCCAGTGAATAATATTTAAAAACATTTTTGTTTTTCTAATTTAAAAAATATATAATGGTACTTTACATTTCCCAGAGAAATGAAAACTTAAGTTCACAAAAAAAACCCTGTACATAGATGTTCAGTTTTATGAATGGAGCAGTTTTATTTACAATAACCAAAGACTGACAACAACCTAGATGTCTTTATTTATTTTGAGACAGAGTCTTGCTCTGTTGCCCAGGCTGGAGTGCAATGGCATGATCTTGGCTCACTGCAATGTCTGCCTCCCAGGTTCAAGCAATTCTCCTTAATCAGCCTCCTGAGTAGCTGGGATTACAGGCATGCACCACCATGCCTGGCTAATTTGTATTTTTAGTACATGTATTTTTGCCATGTTGCCCAGGCTGGTCTCAAACTCCTGAGCTCAGGCAATCTGCCCTTCTCAGCCTCCCAAAATGCTGGGATTACAGGTGTGAGCCACTGTGCCTGGCCAACCTAGATGTCTTTAAATGGGTAAATGGTTAAACTAACTGAGGTCCATCTATACCAAAAAATACTAGTCAGCAACAAAAATTAATGAACTATTTATACAATGACTGTTGGTGTAGATCTTCAAGGAATCATATTGAGTGAAAAGCCAATCTTGTTCATGAACATACCGCATGATTCCATTTATATAATTTTCTTGAAATGACAGTATGTTAGAAAGGAAGAACAGATTAGTAATTACTAGGAGTTAAGGGGAATAGGAACATAGGTATGGCTATGAAAGAGCAGTGGGAGGGAATCATGTGTGACGAAAATGTTCTTTATATTAAGTGTATCAATGTCAATAGCCTGGTTTTCATTTTATAGCATAAATTTCCAATACGTTACATTGGGAGAAACCAGGTAAAAGGCACTGGAGTTTCTCCGTATTAATTTCTTACAACTGCATGTGAATCAATAATAATCTCAAAATAAAAAGTTTAATAAAAAATAATGTAATTCCTGGCCTGGTGCGGTGGCTCACGCCTGTAATCCCAGCACTTTGGGAGGCCGAGGCAGGCGGATCATGAGGTCAGGAGATCGAGACCATCCTGGCTAGCACGGTGAAACCCCGTCTCTACTAAAAATGCAAAAAATTAGCTGGACGCAGTGGCGGGCGCCTGTAGTCCCAGCTACTTGGGAGGCTGAGGCAGGAGAATGGCGTGAATCCGGGAGGCGGAGCTTGCAGTGAGCCGAGATAGCACCACTGAACTCCAGCCTGGGCGAAAGAGTGAGACTCCGTCTCAAAAAAAAAAAAAAAAAAAATGTAATTCCTAAAATATAGGTAATATGATCTCCAATTAAGAGTGTGAAAACCTAAGAACTGACTCTTTTAAGAATTAAAATATATATTTTTCTTTACCTTTGCCCTGTCAGACTTGATGTTTCTGATTATATATTTACATGACAAACGTTGATTCAAAACTGTTAATAAACACCTAAATAATTAAAAGTAGGTCATATTGAATTGTGAAAAATTTACTCCTTTTGTTAGAGGTATCAAATGCACATGAGTAAGTTGGAAGTAGAGAATCAATTATCCAGCCTCATATCCACAGGGTCCTGGAGCAGTGTCATTTTTTGAAAATGGAAAATTTGTGTTTGAATATTCTTTGTGGCCTCTGCATCAGTTTCCTGTTCATTTTTTCTTCACGTCATTTTAACAATCTGAATTTTAGGATATTTGCTCTAAAAAAAAAAGGTTTTAGTATTTGAAATTGCTAAACAAGAATTCAAGTTCCAGCATCTTCTTAATAATTACATAATTTGGAGCAAGTAATTTTTCTGCTCTGAATCTGTTTCCTTATCTGTAAAATGAAGCCGATATCTACCTCTTAGGTTTACTGTGAGGATAAATGGAAATGTTGCCAGTGAAGCAACCTGATTTAGTGGCTGGTACATCATAGGTGATCATTTCATTGATCCTTAATGCAGCCATTTAACAAATGTCTATGGGCCAGCCATTTGCCAATAAGCAAGCATCTGGCTCCCCTACATGTTACGTTCTAGTGGGAAAAATGGGCAACAGAGGTATAAATACAAAATAAATATTTTGTATGATGACAAATATTTTAATAACATGTGTTCTAAAAGTAAAACAGGTTAGTAGGGGGAAAAAGAGTGCTACAGAAGATGACCAATCTGGCGGGGCATGTTGGCTCACATCTGTAATCCCAGCCCTTTGGGAGGCTGAGGCGAGTGGATCACCTGAGGTCAGGAATTTGAGACCAGCCTGGCCAACATGGTAAAATCCCGTCTACACTAAAAATACAAAAATTAGCCGGGCGTGGTGGCTCATGCCTGTAGTCCCAGCTACTCGGGAGGCTGAGATGCGAGAATCACTTGAACCCAGGAGGCAGAAGTTGCAGTGAGCCAAGATCACACCACTGCACTCCAGCCTGGGCAACAGAGTGAGACTGGGTCTCAAAAAAAAAAAAAAAAAAAAAAATGAGCAGTCTACTTTGGTGGGGAAGTCAGGGGAACTTCCAGAGTTCAGAGGTCTCTTCCTTTAATCCTTTAAATTATTTTTCATTTGCCCATTGAAGGGCACCATTATTACTTAAAGAAGTAACATTTTCATCTATTATCAGACATTCAAATCTCAGTGAAAATAAATAGCAGATACTTAGTGACTCATTTCAGTATCTGTTATTTGATATATCACATAAATAGAATAGTGTGCATATTTTTCTCAGCTCTGTGTATATTGGAAATTCTATTTGAAAATAAAGATATCATGCAATAAAGCTATGTGATTATTTTTATAAAATGTTATTTTATTAAACATTCTTACCATAAGAAGTTCTTCTTAGATAAATTCCCGAAAGATGATTTCCCTGGTGGGGGTAAAAAAAAAAAAAAACATGAAAATTAAAAATAATGAACATTACATCATATGCTATTTAAGAAGTTTCATTTTTCAAATTTAGATTCCTCCCTTTTCTTGAACTTAACGTATTTATTCAAATAAGACTACTGTCACTATATAAATAGTCAAAATACTTCTACATTTATTGTAAGACTGCTGTTCTATTACCAAGTAAAAAAGCATTCTGTAGAACATGAAAATTGTCAGTGGTTCTCTACTTCTAATATAAATCATTTAACTTTACTGGCCTCCGTTTTCTCACTTATAAAATCACAAAATTTACTTGAAGTGAGATATATCCAATCTAAAATTCTAATTATGTTTAAGGCTAGTACAATGTAATTTTAGTTAGTGTTTTAAAAATTGTATCCATGTTCATTTTGCAGTGCCAACTAAATACACACACATAGAACATCAAGTTGCATTTCATGTATCTTATGTTTAAATTGAAATGTGAAGCTATTGAGTAATTTGCAACTATTTATTTTTAATCAAGAGAAGAACATATTTTTCTTATGTTTTAGTATTCTGAGCACTGGAAGCCCAAATTGAAACTGAAGAAAAAGACTTCTAATTTTTCCCTGAGTGATTTAAATGTTTTTAAAAGAATCTTTTGCTCATAGAAAATATTTATTTCTTCACCATTACTTTTTTGAATTCCTACCATGTTTTTTCTACTACCATACTTTAATTTAAATTTGGACTATGAACTTAGAATTGAGCAAAAGTAATAGATTTCCAAAATCAGAAGGCTGCTGGGAATCACTTTCAATAAGAGAAGAAAAACAAATGAATTACAGCCAGCATTAGGCTCTGGAATTGAAATTATAAGCACTCTGAGGAGTATTTATAGTATGTGGTCCAAGGATCCTGCTGCTCAGGTCCATTAACATTGTAGACCCTGCTGAATTATGAAAATGTTCCTAAGAACTAACATTTTTACAAAAAGATGCCAAAACCAAATTTCCAAAATACTCCCTTGATAAATAAAAAGTTATATAAAACTCAGTATTTATATTGTAGTTTTAAGAAAACTTTAAGATGTGCAGATATATTTTACATGTTAAAAGCAGCGAAATGTCTGGTTGAAAATGAATGGACAGAGTAACTGAAAACTCTATTAAATAGACCTGATTTTAAGTTCCATCACCGATAGAAAATGACTTCGATATCCCCAAAGTAATGAAGTCCAGGTTCTTTGGTGCAGCTCAAGAATGCAGACTGGGGCAGGTAAAAGTTATAGGAAGGGTGATTTCATTTTAATATAAGGGGGAAAATGCTTCATGAGATAGATTCCAGTGACTAAAAACATTTAAACAGAGGTTAGATGGCCTCCCTTTAGGCTATTATATAAAAGGTGTCTGGACTAGAGGATCTCTATGTTTATTTCCTGCACCTAAGATTGCATAATTGTGTGTTTCAGTGACCTTTGTAGTGACCCTGCAATGAAATCTGAGATGCAGAACAAGTCTGTCTTAATGTACTTTAAATATCAAGTCTAGAACTTTCTTTCCTTCCCTTTTTCTCAGTAATTCCTGAGTATCCTATAGGTTTGGCTAATTTATTAGTTAGATTATCAGACCTATAGGATACTCAGGAGTTACTTTATTAAACCTTCTCCCAGAATTTTCCTGCCCCAGCCCTCACCCCAAGGATGAGTTAGGTGTGTGTTTCTATAGCACTTGCATTCACTCCCATAGCATGGCTTTGCATATGGTATTATAACCGTCTATTTCCCTTAATAGACTATAAGTTCCTGTAGGCAATAATTGTGATTACAATGACAATGTATATTTTAAAAATTAGTTGTATGCAAGTACCAGTTGCAGAATGTTGATATAATCGTTTTCTGGGGATTAAAAAAATGATTTTTTGAGACAAATTTGGAAGGTGCTCGATGATTCAGAGGTTAAGCAAGTATATTTACTTAAGGACATAGCAGAGCCATGAAACTGTTTCATATTCTGTAAATAATAATGATTATTAAAAAGGTAAGTAGATGTAGACTTTCTTAACACTATTTCACCTTGGACTTGTTTTTTCGTGGAGCATCTTCTAAGTCTAGAGTTTGTTTTTTCTTTCCCGGTTTCCTCTAGTGAATTGGTTATTATAGTGAATTATATCATTCACCATTTCACTAGACAGTATCTGGCACTGAGCAGGAATGTAAGAAGAACTAATTGTATTCATCAGTTACTAAAATCTAAACTAATTGGCTTTCATGTTCCCTGATAAATGCTACCATATCTATCCCAAATTATTCTTTAGATTAAAGAAATATTTGGGTCATCTTCTTTGTTTTGATTGCGGAAATCCCTTCTGTGATATAGTTGGCCATTTAACTTCTATGAGAATGATTTATGGCTATAGACATCATATCTACATGAGCTAGTGTGTTTCACTGTAAGATAACCATTGATTTTAAACAAATGTTTTTCACTGAATTTATAGCTGCTGAATGCCTCTAACTTTTGTTCCTTTTTTTTTTTTTTTTTTTTTTGAGACTGAGTCTCGCTCTGTCGCCCAGGCTGGAGTGGTGCAGTGGTGTGATCTTGGCTCACTGCAAACTCTGCCTCCCGGGTTCACGCCATTCTCCTGCCTCAGCCTCCCCAGTAGCTGGGACTACAGGTGCCCACCACCATGCCTGGCTAATTGATTTGTATTTTTTTAGTAGAGATGGTGTTTCACCGTGTTAGCCAGGATGGTCTTGATCTCCTGACCTCATGATCCGCCCGCCTTGGCCTCCCAAAGTGCTGGGATTACAGGCGTGAGCCACTGCACCCGGCCATTTTTGTTCCTTTTCGAACAATCAAAACAAATTTGTGCCTTCTTCAACATGATACTTAATAGATATTGCATTTAGGTTTCTCTTCTCTGAGCTAAATATCTTAGTTTCCTTATTCTTCCTGACATGATTTCCAGATTTCCAAATTGACAGGAATCTTGTTATAAAATTATAATTGATTCTGCTATCTTCTTCCAAAGCCCACTTTAAGGTAAGGTAAGGCAGAATCTTAATATTTTATAAAGATGCCACTGCTGAATCCTATGTTATTTATTCTACTCATATTGCTTCTTTTGACCAGAATGTGTTTTCTTCTTCCCTCCTCCTCATTATCTGCCCTTTAGGAAAAAGCTCACCCCCATTTCACATTCAACCACATTCGCTGTCATTTTTCCTCTCCTGATCTTGGAAAAATCAGTTAAGACTCATTGTCTATTGTGACAATTCAGCCTCCCAATTTTCTGTATTATTAACTGATGTTTCACGTATACTTTTCTTTATTCTTAGTGAATAAAGTTAATAATGGCTAATTTCTTATAACTAAGAAGTTATAAGAATCATGAGAGCAAGTACTTTACTTTTTATTTTTCTAGACACTTTGTCAAATACACAACTGATTAACCAGTTGCCTGAAAATGTTGATAGACATATATGCAGATTTATATGGCCATAGCTCTTATGTCCCTCCTTACTCCTTGATATTTAGAAAGCTAAGGTGCAGCGCACTGGGGCAGATGGAGGCAATTGGTATATAACTTGTTTTCTGACCTTCCAAGCTTTTATTTTCAATGGGAGTGGAGGGGAGGAAAGGCATCCTGGAAGTCTAAAAATGACATTTCCTAGAATTTCTTGACTTGTTTTCATAATTAGTTCTACAAATGGGAGCCAATGGGAGGAGGCACAAGCAGGAGGCATTCTGTATTCAACTCTCAACTTAGCAGAAAGGCAATTACCAGGAAAGCATAGCCTCCAGCATTTTCAGGTCCCAACAGCAGTGGTTAAGGCAGCCTCATTTCAGAAGCAGTGCACTCTATAAACAACAGATGCTGGTGAAGTTGTGGAGAAAAGGGAATACTTTTACACTGTTGGTGGGAGTGTAAATTAGTTCAACCACTGTGGAAGACAGTATGGCAATTCCTCAAAAATGTACAGACAGAAATACCATTTGACCCAGCAATCCCATTACTGGACATATACCCAAAGGAATATAAATCATTCTGTTATAAAGATACATGCACACATATGTTTATTGCAACACTATTCACAATAGCAAAGACATGGAATCATCCTAAATGCCCATCAATGATCGACTGATAAGGAAAATGCGGTACATATACACCATGGAATACTATGCAGCCATAAAACAGAATGAGATCATGTCCTTTGCAGGGACATGGATGGAGTTGGATGCCTTTATCCTCAGCAAACTAATGGAGGAACAGAAAACCAAACACTGCATTTGCTCACTTATAAGTGGGAGCTGAATGATGAGAACATGTGGAAACATGGGGGGAACAACATACACTGGGGCTTGTTGGAGGGTGAGGAGTGGGAGGAGGGAGAGCATCAGGAAGAATAGCTAAATATTAAGCCCAGCTAAATATTAAGCCGAGCTTTATATTTAGGTGATGGGATGATCTTTGCCGTAAACCACAATGGCACACATTTACCTGTGTAACAAACCTGAGTGTCCTGCATATGTATCCCTGAACTTAAAACAAAAGTTGAAAAAAAAAATGAAGCAATGCACCACAGCAGCTTAGCTAGAAATGCATCCCAGAACACAGGTAGGGACACTGTCCTGGTCTTGCATAACAACTGTTCTTCCCCTTTTCTGCCCATCTATCACTTTTGTAAACATTTTTCTGCATTAATATCCTCTCTCTGAGGATATCCAAATTTCTAATAAAACATATGAAAAGACATCAGGAAAACACAAATTACGATCAAAATGAAATACCACTAAGTAATCGTCAGAGTGGCCAATGAGAAAGACAGGACTATCGAGTGCTGGGGAGGATGTTGAGCAACTGAAGTTCTTAAACAGAGCTGGAAGCCATGGAAAATTGGTACAGCCTTTGGGAACCGATTTGGCTGTTTCTACTGAATGTGAACATACAAAATCTCTATGATCCAAGAATTTAATTTTTAGGTATATTTTTATCAGAAATGTGTTCCAATGTTTACCAAAAAATCATGTAATACAATAAAATATTACTAATTTGTAATAGCTAAAACCTAAATATCACTCAAATCTCCACCAACGATAGGATAAATTGAGGTATTTCACATAATGATTACTGTACCACAATGGTAATCACTGTCTACAAATACAGATAACAATAGGAATGAATTCCACAAACACTGTTGAGCTAAAGTCAGACAGAATTGAACATGCTGTATTATGCAATTTTTATATAAAATAATATAAAAAAGTATTCTATTATTTAAGATTTTAGGATAATGGACTAACTTTGGGGAAAATTGAAGAGGTTTTACTGGGGTACTGGTGATGATTTCTTGATCTGGATGCTAGTTACACTGGCATAATCAATAATCAGTTAATGAAAATTTATCAGATTGTACTCCTACATGTGCAGTTTTGTACACATATTTTACTTCAATAGAAAGCTTTTAAATATGTTTTTGGCCTACCTGAGACCAAGATATACTAGTGACTTTGCTGTAGTGCATAGCTGGGGTAATTTTTGCCTGGAAAAATTGAAAGTAAGTGTTCTAAGCGTCTTTCTTGACCATTAAAACAAACAAGAAAAGCAAGCCTGAATCCCTAAAACATATTGACTATTAAAAAATTAACTCGACAAGGTGCAGTGGCTCATGCCTGTAACCCCAGCACTTTGGGAGGCCGAGGAGGGTGGATCACAAGGTCAGGAGTTCGAGACCAGCCTGGCCAACATGGTGAAACCCCATCTCTACTAAAATACAAAAATTACCCGGCGTGGTGGTGGGCACCTATAATCCCAGCTATTCGGGAGGCTGAGACAGGAGAATTGTTTGAACCTGGGAGGCAGAGGTTGTAGTGAGCCAAGATTGCGCCATTGCACTCCAGTCTGTGAGACAAAGTGAGACTTTATCTCAAAAAAAAAAAAAAAATTAATTGTTTGAAAAACCTAGGATAGATTCTGTATTCTTGACTCAATGCACAGGGATATAGCTTTATTTGTTTCCCAAGTTTGTATGTGCAATTCTTTTTAGAAAATATTTCAAAGTGACTTTAATCATCATTTATGTAAAGTAACTGAAAATTCCAGAATATATATGTTAAAAAATTCTGCCAAAATCTCATGAAGTACTCCAAATAAATAAAAAATAATTCAGGTTTTAAAAACTTATAATAAATGCCAGTGGCTTTTCCATATATATTTTAAATGCTTCACTGTCTCTTCCATATCATATTTAAAGGTTTTCATTATAATTTTTGTGAAACCTCTGGAGGAGCCTTATACAAGAATTTTTTGTTGTTGTTTCCAGAAAAGGAACAGGAATTATTAAATTAAGTAGAACTTGAAGGGAGATAATTTTTTATTCATCTTTCATAATTGAATAAAATTCAGAGACTTTTTTTTAAATATACACAAGTGCACTGCCTAAGTTTAATTATAATTGCTGCAATATTTCTTTGTGGGAATCTTATTTTATGAAGACAAGAATATAGAAACAATATATAATGAAACTTTGCTGGGCAATTATACCAGGCAATGACCCAACTAGTCAATTGCCTAGCCATTTTTAGTAAGCATTCCAACAGAATAGGAACAATTATCATTTTAAGTAACCAAACTGAAAAAGAGATCTTATATAAAGTGCAGGATGTGCTGACCTCTGGAAAGTAGAAGGAAACACAATATATAGATGAGGTAATAATAGCAGGGTCAAATTTTGTACAGAATTTACAGTTTACATGGCCAAAAGAAAAGATCTAATTTTATTCCTGAATTTACCAAATAGCAAAAGAGAACTTTTACACACTAATTTCTTTAAATTTTATGATTTACCATGTTTAACATCTTTAAGTAATCTTTACAATAACTGTAGGATGTTCATGTATATTTTGAGCATCGTGAAATTTGCAAGTATTTCTACTGCCTTTGCCCACAAAAGACATCTTGTTTTGCCATGAAATGCTGGTTGACCATTTCCCCCTAAAGTTCCAATGGAATTTAATGTTATATGGGAGAATTTCTTCTGCACTTTTCAGCAACTCTATATTCTCTCTAGAAAATTATGGAATTTCCCCCTTTTCTCTGTATAATAAAAAAGTCCCAGCTATGTTACTTTATATATTTTCCCATTAATTTTACTTGCAATGCAGTATATATCCTTCTGGAATTTTCTTTTGTTTATATAAATTTATGAGTAAATAATTGTATAAGTTGTACAAAACATACAAATAGGGAATGGGTTTCTTTTCATTCTATTTAGAAACTTGGATTACCTCTATATTCCTCCTTGTCAATATTCTGTCTTTATAAATTTAAGAACAGTAAACATATTAATATAACATCATTCCTCTCATCATTTCTTAAATTTATTTTTGTATCAGTATCCTAAATGATTTTATTATTTAAGGCATGTCCTTTCTTAAATTTATTGTCTGCATCAAGGTTTTTCAACCTTGGCAACATCAACATTTGGGACTGAATATTTCTTTGCTGTGGGAATTTTCTTTTACATTATAAGAAGTTTAGAAGCACCCCTAAACTCTACCTAGTAGATACCATTGGCTCCCTGACCCCTAATCTCTCATGACAACCAATGCTACTCCAGAAATGGTCAACTGTCCCCTGGGAAACAAAAGCACCCCCTTTTAGAACTATTAATCTACGTTGCTGCTAGAGTTCCTATATCTGTCTGTTTTGCATTGCTATAAACGAATACCTAAGGCTGGGTAATTTATAAAGAAACAATGTTTATTTGGTTCACAGTTCTGCAGGTCATGGCACCAGCATCTGCCTGGCTTCTGGTGAGCCTCAGGAAACTTACAATCATGGTGGAAGGTGAAGCAGGAGCAGGCATGTCATGTGGCGAGAGAGGGAGTACGACAGAGAGGAGGAAGAGCCAGATTCCTTTTATAGCTAGCTCTCATGTGAACTAAGAGAGTGGGAACTCACTCATTACCATGGAGTGAGCATCAACCCATTCATGAAGGATCTGCCCCCATGACCCAAACACCTTCCACCAGGCCCCACCTCCAACACTGGGGATCACATTTCAACATGAGATTTGGAGAGGACAAAGATCCAAACTATATCGTTTATCTTTCTAAAATACTCATTAGATTATGTTATTCTTCTGCTGTTTGAATAACTTATTTTGGTGGTTTTCTTCACCTATTCGATACGCATTTTACCAGGACTTTTGCAATAAGGCTTGGCACTCATTTCTAAAACTATATCATGCCCTGGACTTTTGCTTCAACCACAAACAACTATTATTTTTCTTTCAAACAACACTCCTCACTCCTTTATGCTTATACGTTTTGCCTTTTCTTCCACTTCTATTTTGGAAGTTAATACTAACTTATTAAAACAAGTTAAAACATCCACCTATGTTAGGTGTTACTTGCACAGATACTTATGCATTAAATATCACACCCAAGTAGAAAATAACTGCATCATTTCACTCAAATTTATTTTTACTACTTTGAGCGATAACAAAATTTTGTATTTTAGGAAATACTACGTAATGAACTTGATATTGTTCTATCAATTGTTAACCAGAAAAACCAAATCCAGTATCCCATAAGGCTGCAATCATTTCCACCTAACTTTGCCACATTGTACTTGCTTGAAAAGAAGCTCATCTGATGCATGTCTGCCCCCTCATAAAGCCTTCAGGCGTAGTTTTTCAATTTGGCATTTCCACTCCCAGAAGAGCTTAGTTTCATCTGCACACTTGAAAATTTCACTGGGCTCTGTGTCTTCCAACTCATTTAGAAGCCCCTTAGATAGTACCAATCCTTAGTGGAGTCAGGTAAGTAAAATTCTGTGAAAGGAAGAAGCACTTTAGCTGAAAATGAAACAGAAGTCACTAGTCTGCACATTTGCATTCAATAGCTACCACGTACTTTGGGTTAACTCTGTCCAACAGAACTTCCTATGATGATAGAAATGTTCTATATTTTCAGTGTTCAACATAGTAACTATATGTGGCTATTGAGCACTAGAAATACGGCTAAAGTGATTGATGAAATGAATTTTGAATTTTATTTACTTTTATTTATTTATTTATTTATTTATTTGAGACAGAGTCTCGCTCTGTCGCCAGGCTGGAGTGCAGTGGCACGATCTCAGCTCACTGCAACCTCTGCCTCCCGGTTCAAGCAATTCTCCTGCGTCAGCCTCCTGAGTAGCTGGGACTAAAGGCGCACACCACCACACCCAGCTAATTTTTATATTTTTAGTAGAGACGGGGTTTCACCATGTTGGGCAGGATGGTCTCAATCTGTTGTCCTCATGAACTGCCCACCTCGGCCTCCCAAAGTGCTGGGATTACAGGTGTGAGCCACTGCGCCGGACCAAATTTTATTTACTTTTAATGCATTTAAATTTACATTTTAATTCAAATAGCCACACACAGCTAAAGAACACATATTTCAGCTATTGCCAAGATGTTATTTTCCTAGAATTTCATAAAAAAGGAATTTAAGATTTTTTGTCAATTACCTTTTATACTTCAGTTGAGAGTTCCCAGAAAAAGAGGTAAGTTTTACACTGTATCGTCCTACCTCTTACCTTACATTATCCACTCCAGTTGGAAGTAAGAAAAGGAGGTCTGGCCAAGAGTATACATAACTTAATTCAAAACCATCTTAGCAAGATCAACGTTTTAGCTACTTGGGAGGAGTTGAGAAAACAAGCAAAGCAAAGTCTGATCAAACTCGACGTACAGATGCATTATGCAAATTCTCCCTTAAATAACATGAGCCAGAGAAGCTAAAGAAAAAAGAATAATGTTTAACAAGCTCTGCTGAAGAGAATGTTTTCGTAAAGACTGAAAGGGATAGAATAAGAAATAAAAGTCCAACAAGTCCAATGAAGTGAGTAGCAAGCACCTGATGGCAATTAATAGGAAAAGTAGCATGGAGGGTCACAGAGCTAAACAAGAAAATGGTGGCCAGAAAAAGTCCGTGATTGAACATGAGTTTCCAAACAGCGTCTCCAAGCTCTGATGAGGAAAAAAGATGGCTAAAATGGAGCTTGAGATAGATGATTCCTGTAGTTTTGCTTAACAAGACTAGAATGAAGTGGCGGATTACAGAGAGAATGTTTCTATAGTGCAGAGCTTACAGAAAGGGCAAAAGGAAGTTGAAAAGCAGATTATTTATAAATCAATTATTTCTCAAAGCATATTTGCTCTTTTTAAGAACATATACGTGCTAACCACACCATGATGTGTTCTAATTTATCTCTTTTCTACAGTGCAATTTCTTCAGCTATAATTTAAAATTTAATCATGTTCTTAATTAGCCCTTTCTGCTCAAGGAGTGATATAACCCTAGAGTGGCAGATTACCATTATTCATTCACAAACTTCATATTGTACATACTCCACGTACTACCAGTGCTCTTTGGCCAGAGAGATGACTTCCAGCTAGGAGATCAGAAAGACTTCAGAGGGGAAGTGGCATGAACATTGACCTCGAGGGATAAGAAATAAGGCAAAATGGCATCTGTGTGTCCCTTCAGGGTTATGCTGAAAAAATGTGCAGCAGGCTCACCCAAGAATTATTTATTATCTTAATCTCTAGGAGGATACAATTTTGTTTGACATATCATTTATTATTATTTAGATACCAGACTTTGAAGTTACATGTTAATTTGCAGATTGATGTTTATCCTGTAAAAGCATTTCCAGGTTTTAATCTCACCTAGCAATCTTGTTCTAACGTTTTTTCCTTTAATCTCTGTACATATTTGGTTCTTCAAACGCTCTTTGAATTAGCTTCACCATCTTGTTGTTGCCCTTATTAATAAGTTGCATGAATCTATGGCACATTTTATATTTATATGAGGGACACACTTATAGCTTTGTACAAATTACCTTTTTACAATAGATTGGGGATAAAAAAAGAGCAAGAGTAGTCCAGGTATATGGAACTGAGTGACACAATCCAAAATTGGCATATATAAGAAGAAGGAAAAGCCCTTTTATTTTAGTAAGTTGTGAATGATATTTGCTCTAAGAGGATTCAAAGAATACTTTGCTGCCATGAAACTGGATGCTTTATAGTTACATGAAGCAAACATTTCATAAGTATAATGTTATGAGAAAGAAGCCAAATACAAAATAATATACACAATGTATACATATTATAAAAAGAAGCAAAGCTAATTTATGCTGTTAAATAAAATAGTGGCCCATGCAAGAAGAGGGGGCAGTGACAGAAAGGAGGCACAGGAGGGACCTTCTGGATGACTGGTAATCCTCTCTTTCTGGTTACAAAGATGTGTACAGTTTATGGAAATTCATAAAGCTTATAATATTTCCACTTCTCTGAATGTAAATTATACACCAATAAAAATGACCATGCATACTATAAATGTTTGAAAATGTTCATAATTAAGGGAAGAAACAAGTATTTGTTAAATAATGGATTTGCTACAATCTTCTCTGCATCATATTTAGATTTGTTTCTGTCCTTACATAAATGATGTCTGCATTTTCGATAATTTGTTTTCCAAAGAAGTATTACCATTACTACTGTAGCATATCATTCTCTAAATTGTCACCTTCCTTGCACAAACCACACCCAAAATGCATGACCTTGGAATCCCACTTTCAATTTCTTTAAAATGAAGTGAAACTTGAAGATTTTTGACTAGAAATATAAATGCAGAATCTTTCTAGTTTTCTATGGTCTTCCCCCAGTGTTTTACAGCTGTATTGTCACAACCGATATGTATGACAGCAGTATTTTTAGGGACTTGGGTTTATTTCCAAAATATCTAACTTACTTTTTATAGGAAAAAAATTATCTTCAACTTGTATTTATCAGTTGGTTATTATTTAATTAATTTTGATAATTATAATAATAGCAATTTGTATAAATATACTTGGTTATAACCTCTCTTGGGTAATCATATTGTTTAACTGACTGATGAAATGGGACTATAAATAGCAACTAGCCTACCAGTGTGTGAGGAACACATGATGAATGTCGGGCAAATATTGTAGAGAGAAGAATGGAGAGCATGGTTTGATTGAAGCTGGTAAACTAGTTAAGTTGAAGTAGATTATGTGGAGATAGGTCAGGAACAATTCTGCCATAGTGCAGTTTTGGTCCTAGGGACATAAAGAGCAGGATATGAAATGAGGTTTATATAATGTCAAGATCAGATCACAGAGGGTTCTAAATTACAGGCTATTGAGTTTTTGTATCATTTTGTTGAGTCAAAAATCTAGTGAAGATTTTTCAGCAAGTAAATGACACGGTAAGAAATTTGCTTCAAATATTCTGATCCAAAGAAGCATTGTGCAAGTTGGAAAGGGTAAAAACTTATTGGCCTCTCCCATGCATAAGGCTGTCCAGGACGGGAGATAAGGAAGGCTGAAACATACTTCAAGAGATGCACCATTAGTGGAAGTAAGAGAACTTGGAAAACAAATCCACATATATCACATATAGTGGCACATTATACAAAACAAGCAGGATAAAAGTATTTTCTCTAACTCACCAAGGAGTTCTTCTGTGAATGAATATATTAATGACTGAACTGTAATTAATTTCTTCAATGCTGTTTGCCAGATCAATGACCTATTTGTGTTGAACCAAAAATGACGTCTACTCTATATGTTCTTTAAACATTGTTTTTTTGCCAACTTTATAAAATTGAGTTGTTCTAGGCAAGATATCTATTCAAGTTTTATTATTTTTCTTTCCTATAGTTTCAGTATGTTACAATTCCCTTTGTGATGGTTTGCTTTATTTAAATGCAATGATGTAATTATTTTCTAATATCAAAGCAGAGTAATTAATTACTATTACTTATGTGACAAATCAAGAATGGCGGGAAAATTGGAAAAAAAACAAAAACAAAAACACGGTGTTCTCTTCCAATGCTTTCAGGTATGCTGCAAGAACAATCAGTCAAAATTCCAGATAGATTTAAAATAGTTGAATGTGCGGTATCTTGACTCCATTAACTAAAATAAAAGCCATAAGTTGAAGACCCAAGTTTAGAACAAGTCTCCCAGTGCATAACAATAGAATAGTAGAAGGCCCTGTTTTGTTTCATATCTTATAAAGTTGTCTGGAGCAAAATAATGTATAGGCAAAATGTCCCATATGGGGCTAGGCTGGAATAGGGGTACTCCTTGAGTTTTTAAAGATATTTATCTTTCATTACCAGTGTATGCACTTCTAGTCTATTAAACTTTTTAGAGTTATGCCTTTGCTCAGATGGCTTTTTTCAGCAAATCACATGTGACATTTGCAAAGGAATTAATTTTTATTGACTAAAAATGGAGATGGGGTGCTGATTTCCTTTAAAATTAGTTACCACTAGCGGGGCGGCGGGGGGAGGGGTGAAATGAAGGTGTAGGGTGGGAACCATTGTTCTTAAATTTTTTGCACAATAGGATATATGAGTCTGTGAAAGAAAAAAACAGAGCAATATTATTTTCCTTCCTTTTTTTTTTTTTATTATAAAAAGGCTTGGCTGCTCCTTAAAAGTGTGACTCTCTTCTGAGCCGTCAGGGTCATGCTAGATTGAATCATGCTCCCTGAGAGCCCTGATTTGTAAGTAGAAGCCTCTAATAAAAGTGACCTTAATGGCTGATTTGGGTGCCTCTTACAATGCACCTGCATCCTCAATGGGCCGGCTGTAGCAGCAGCAAGCTGAGGCCGGCGCTGCTGTGAACCTTCAGGTGTCATTAACAGATCATTGAGTCAACAGATCATGACAGCTCCTTCGGAAAACTCCAGCTTCCCGTTAGCATGCTCTGCCCAGGGAGTTAGAGAGAGACTTTAACAGCTCGCCGTGTGACTTAAAGAAATTCAAGAGGAAAAGGGACATGTTCTAGCAAAGCCAAAATAGTAGATTATCTCAGAGACTGCATACCAATCTTAAATAAACAGGGGCAACTGGGGCATGCAACTATTTAAAAACACATTTTTGGGATGTTATGATATCCTTAAAACCTAAGTATACAGCCTAAATAAATAAATAAATAAATAAATAAATAAAACTTTAGGGATCGGTTTTCTTCTAGATGCTTAGACTACATAAACACTGCCCCCTTTATTGTTTAGTGTTTTGGGGATTTTTTGCTGTTGTTTTTGTTCCTGTTTTTTGTTGCCTTCTCTGAGAAACCAAACCATACATACTTTAACTGTTTGATCTCAGGCCATTTCATGGACATTTATTATTCATATTTTAATAACTTCAAATGTAGTTTTAAATTCCTGAATAAAAAGTTTGTAACAAACTTTCTTAGCTGGGATAACATGGAGAGATTAATCTACTAAATAAGTAAACCATTCGTAGGCCTCTTGGTGTGACTGGATGGAAACCTGCCATCTTCTAATTTTGTGTATCAAACACAATTTGCTTGACTGATATTTGAACATGGACACGTGAAAGACAGCTGGAGCTGGCTTCATTCAAACTTTAGGAAAAAATTACTGTTGTTAATAACACAATCTATGTTTTGTTTAAGAATATTATTACTTTAATATTCTTCAGTTAATACTCTTGGTGAGACTCCAATATGTCTTTTATACATATTATTTTTGTACCTAAAATAATGGTTCAATACATATTTTACTTCTCCCATTGTATAAATAAGAAATGTAAGAGAAGTATTGTTCCTAATATGATACTCCTAAAAAGTTCTAGAGCAAGATTTCTAGCCTAGTTTATGACATTAAAGCTTCTGGTTCTACATCATGATTTCCAGCATGGGTGATTTTTTTTTCCTTCCTAGTCTCTCTATAATTGCTTTAAAGTAGTCATTCCTAAACTTTAGCCTGCACAGAATCACCTGCAGAGCCTATTAAACCAGATTGCTAGACCCCACCCTGAGCATGTCTGACTAAGTAAGTCTGTGGTGGTACCTAGGAATTTGCATCATTAACAAGCTCCCAGGTGATGCTGATGCTGAAGGCCTCCACTTTGGGAATAATTGTTGTAAAGCTATGTAAAATAATTGTTTTAAAGCTACGAGTGAATATTAGTGAGTTTCCCTGCCACCCGTTGAGATTAATCAACATATGCCCTTTCTTGAAACAATAGGTTTCAGTATCTTGTCTCTTATTTTAAGAAGATGTTGATATTTCTCAGCGTGAAGAGTGGAGTGGGGGCTATGATTCCACGTTTAAGCTGTTGCTTTAAATATTTTATGAAAGTCTTTTCAAAACTTTCTGATGTGCTAAGTGGGGAATATGTGAGTTGAGAATAAGAAAATATGTGCTTTATTTTTACTAAACATTGATTTTTGATACTGCTGTTTTTTGTTTTTTGTTTTTTTGATAGATACAGGGCCTTGTTTTGTTGCCTAGGCTGGTCTCGAACCCCTGGCTTCAACCAATCTTCCTGCCTTGGTCTCCCAAGGTGCTGTCGTTATACAGGCATAAGCCACTGGGCAAGCCAGTATTACTGTTTTTAGTTTGCTTGAGACAGGATCTCACTCTGCTGTCCAGGCTGGAGTGTAGTGGTGTGAACATAGCTCACTGCAGCCTCAACCCCCTGGGCTCAGTGATCTTCCCACCTCTGCCTCCCTAGTAGCTGAGACTACAGGTGTGTGCCACCATGCCTGGCTAATTTTTTGTATTTTTTGTAGAGATGAGATTTCGCCATGTTGCCCAGGCTGGTCTCAAAATCCTGAGCTCAAGGGAACTTCTTGTCTCAGCCTCCCGAAGAGTTGAGATTACAGACGTGAGACACCATGATGGCCAATATTGCTCCTTTTTAATAAAGGAAATGATATGTCTGGTAAATATGTCAAAATAGTAAAGCTTTGGTTTTTTATAAATATGATATCAAATTATCAGGACATATGTCTGTGTAGGTACAAACTAAAACAAATATACAGAATGAGACTAGTCCCAAAGGAAATTGCAATTAGGCTTAAATCTACATACCATTTTGAAAAGAGTAGTAGTCTTGCCAAAAGCATCGTGCTATAGGTGTTTCTTGCTCTATAATATTAGAAGCCTTGCCAAGTGGTCTACCTTGCCATGGATTTGTAGGTAATGTTTTTGGAACAGCAGCCTAAATTTGATACAACGTGATTTAAAAACATGCTTTTAAACTTTATTTTCCACTGAAAATAATAATTGCATATTATTATTTTGGGGGTACAATGCGATATTTTGATATATGTTTGCAATGTGGAATGATTAAATAGACTAATTAAATCCATCACTTCATATGCTTATCTTTTTTTGTGGTGAATATATTTGAAATCTAGTCTTAGCAATTTTGAAATATATAGTGCACTCTTATTGATGTTGATCAAAGGGTACAAAGTTTTAGTTAGACAAGAAAAATAAGCTTTAGAGAGCTATTGCACAGAAGAGTGACTATGGCAAATTTTAATAATTTAATAATCTTTATAGAGATCTGTCACTGAAAAATTGTCAAGAAAAAATACTGTTGAATCATTTTCTATAGACTTATTAGTGATTCTTGTTTAACATGAAAACTAAAAAACAAATTGATACACTTTTTGTGACATTGAATAGTATATGATGTACTTAAATATAAATCTATTTTTAGATGGTTGTTCTTTGCAACATAAGCACTAATAAGTGCTGTTTCAACAATCAGAATTGAACACCTTGAGTATTTTATCTTTTTACAGTGAGTACACTAGATATTAGTATATTGGTGTTGCTACTTCATAGTTGCACTAAAAATTATGTGAAGAGTAACTGTAGACTTTGGATTTTCTTTTGTTGTAACATTCCGTCACAAAAATGAAGGTTTAGCTTTAAATTCTGTTAAGGGTTTTCTCCCCTTTTATTTCCATTCATTAAGAATTTATTGGCTTGAATATGTATCTTCAAATGACTTTCATGAAATAAGTAATTTTATAAATTTGCAATAACATCATCCAGAGGGATAACAAATTTTATTTTCTTGCTTGTTCTTACTTTCAAACTGATCATTTCAATATTATGAAACCAATTCTTTCATCTCTCAAGTGCTGATTAAATATTAAAATGGAATTGTGGTTTTTTAATTTTTATAATCTGTCTCATTCTTCAAAAGTCACTGAAAAAAATGTATATGAAGCAGAATTTCATTCACTTTTCCAGCCATATTTTTGTTTTGATTTTCTGCTGTGTGAGTTTCCTGTCCATCCTACCTCTACCAACACAGCTTTAGATAAATGGTGAATTTGAAATAGGCAATGGTAATATCATTTTACACGTTGTCTGGGGCCATATGACTATACTTTTTGTAGGAATATTTTATAGTGACTGGAAAAACACCTTAAACCTCTTATGTTTAGTTTATCATGATGTCTGAGGTATGTAGTTATGTACACAGGCTATCATTCACACTCTTCCTTTAATTGCATGTATCCTTCTACCTTTCATATTGGTAAAGCTTGATTTAATGGTGTAGTATAAAATCATTATAAGATTAATTATATCAAACACTGTAATTTCTAGAAAGATGTCACAGAATGCAATCTCCAAGGAACTATCACTGCAAAAAGGGACTTTAAATCATTGTTATCACTTTTTTCTCCTACCATGACCATTCACTCACTTAATAGTCTTTCTTAATAATAACAGGAAAAATATTAAACAAAATGCAAAAGTTGGGCTGGAGAGGTGGTACATTTCTGTAATTCCAGCACTTTGGGTGGCTGAGGCAGGAGAATCACTTGAGCCTAGGAGTTGGAGTCCAGGAGTTTGAGACCAGCTTGGGCAACAGAGTGAGACCCCTATCTCTACATGAACACACACACACACACACACACACACACACACACACACACACACACAATTGACTAAGTGTGGTGCCTGTAGTCATAGCTACTCAAGAGTCTGAGGCAGAAGGATTGCTTGAGCCCAGAAGTTCAAGGTTACAGTGAGCTATGATCACACCACTACACCCTAGTGAGACTCCATCTCTGGTAACACCCTATCTCTAAAAAATTTTTTTAATTTTTTTGAGACAGGGTCTCTATCTCCCAGACCACAGTACAGTGATGTGATCACAGCTCACTGCAGCCTCAACCTCCCAGGCTCAAGCAATTCTCACACCTTCATCTTCACCTCTGCCTCCCGAGTAGCTGGGACCTCAGTCATGTGCCACCACACCCAGATAATTTTTGTATTAAAATTCTTTTATGCAAAAGTTGGACAACATCTTGACAACCTTGTTTTATGAGGAAGAGTCTGTGGTATTAGTAGTCACCTGAGGACATCAAGTCCAGGTGTTGCATGTGTGGATGACCTGGCCTCGGTATACCATATACAGGACCTGCCATCTACAGGGGGTCCAGCAAGACCTGTAGAGTATATTCCGATACATCTGCAATTATTATGAATAACTGGTGGGAGAAAGAAGGGTTCTTAGATAGAATGCAGCATTGTATTGATCCTGGCTAAAGAGGAATTTGTAAGAGTTTTAGGCAGAAACTGAGCAATTTCCATATCGTTCACAGGAAAGGGATAAAAGTAAAGGTCATACGTTTCTAGGATTGTCATGTGAACTGGGGACACTCCTGTATTTCCACATGAAAGTTAATATAGGTTATTACAGCAAAGAAGCAATGGGTAGCTTGAAAGCTGTATTTCCATAGTCCATTAAATGGTGAGGTCAAATGTTTGAGTCATCCTCATCAAAAGTAACATCAAATACAAAAATTAATTCAAAGTAGATCACAGACCTCAATGTAAGACCTAAAACTATGAAACTATTAGAAAATATATAGAAGTAAATCCTTGTGATCTTGTGTTAGGCAAAGTTTTCTTAGATATAACACAAAAACACAAGTGATGAGAAAAAAATAGATACATTGGATGTCATCAGAATTAATACTTTGTGCTTCAAATGACATTATCAAAGTTAAAAGACAACCTGCAGAATGGAATAAATTTAAAAATCATGTATCTGCTAACGGACTTTGCAACCAGATATATAAAGAACACTTATAATTCAATAATAAGACAAATAATTAAATTAACAAATGGGCAAATAATCTAAACAGATGGTATTCAAAAAGTATATATGAATGGCCAATAAACACATGAGAACATGCTCAACATCATTAGCTATCAGGAAAATAAAAATCAAAGGCACGATGAGATAACCACTTCATATCCACCCTCTAAAATGGCCCTAATCAAAAACACAGATAATAATAAACATTGGTGAGGTTGTGGAAAACCTGGAACGTTCATATACTGCTATGGGGAATAATAAAATGGTACCACCACTTTGGAAAACAGTCTGATAGGTCCTCTAAAATCTGAATGTTTAGTTACCACAGGGCTTGGCTACTCCATCCCTGGGTGTATTCCATCCTCCCCGCCCCTTTGCAAAATAATAACATATGTCCACACAAAAATTTTATGTGAATATTTATAGAAGCACTAGTAATAATAGTCAAAGGCTGAAAACAACACAAATGTCTATCAGTTGATGAATAAATAAAATATGGTACATTCATACAATAAATTATTCAGTCATAACAAGTTTAGAGTATGGATAATTACTACAATATGAAATAAACTTGAAAATATTATGATAAATGAATGCAATCAATCAGGAAATACAATAATGTATGATTCCACTATATAAAACTTCTGGAATTAGTCAAATCTGTAGAAACAAAAAAGTAGATTTGTAGTTGTCTAGGACTAGGGTCATTGAATGCAAATGGAGATCTATCAATTTCTTGCAATATATGGACAATGTTAACATCCTGATTGAAACAAAATATATTTAAAAAGGAAAAGCAATACCAATTGCAGAGGGAGTACATAATGTTGAAAACAATGCCTTCAAATTGGTTCAAACTGAATCTCCAAGGTTAGCCTTTTGGGTGTACCTGTGAGACAGGTGTTCTTGCAAGCAGGTTTTCCCATTCATGGTTTCCATAGGCTCCAGGTCTATCACTGGAACCCGAACCCACTGGCTGGGAAAGCTGTAACAATTGGTCCACCTGGCCATAATGGAGACAAATTTGGGAATCTTGCTAAAGTGCCTGTTGAACTGGAAGCAGATTACTGAATGCTTTCTAATTCTATTGGAGCTGGAACATGAATGAAGGCTTAGTAAAAGAAAGGACTGGGACATAGCCCATGAGGACCTCTTATTCAAATGTAAAGGATAGGCCAGATAGTCTTGTGACCCAAGTTGATGAGTCCAGGAGTCGCATGATTTGAAAGTAGGCAAATACATTTTTGTTGGAAGCTTCAAACATTACCTGTTCATACAATGTAAGTTTATTCAACCAAAGACTGATGCCTGGAAGTAAAAGGTAGCCTGTGATCATGCATCACACATTGTCTTTTGCACAGCAATTGGATGTGGTTCACAGTACAATATTGATTGCAAAAATAAAAACTGACCATACTTCCCTTGGGACATGTTCAGATTGATCCAGCAACATGTTCTGAGTTGAGAATTACAGGAGAATCCACATCTCTGCTGGGCCAGATAACAAGTAGTCAGAAACATGCCTTGGGTCTGTTCACAGTTTGGGGAAACACCTAAAGGCACATGCCAATTATTAGCCATATGAGTAACCCTAAATTTCTTTGAAAGTGTAATTGACATCCAAGAAGACAGATCAGGCCAGAGGGACAGGAGGACACTGAGCACAGGATTATAGCTTCTCAAGTTTCATTAGCTCTTTCATCTACTTCCTAGTTTCTCAATTCTCTACCCAGAAATTGATTCACTGTTAGAGAACAGAGAATCAGCTAATTCCTCTATAGTCTTACAAGGAAGGTATGCATTCACCCTAGCAAAGTCAAGTGGAGTATTTTTATTTTGACTGAAGTCAAGTCTACGGCCAGGCTGAGTATTGTAAAAAGTGGGGAGGAAGGACACATCACACATGATACAGATAAGCAAATAAATGAGCATTTGGAGGCTTTAGAGAATAAAAAAGAACAAAAAGTGTGAAGAATGAATAGGTGAATTATAGACTTCAAGTAAACTAGAAGAGGATGCAGGATTCAGTGCATGGTGATTCAGTCAAAACTCATTTGAACACCTTCTGAAAGAGCCTTGCCTGGTTTATTAACTTTGAAGCATTTGCTGTACCATTCACCTCTGGAACACCAGAGGTGTTCCATCTTGCACATTAAAATGTTCATGCTTTTGCAGACATCCATATTTTCACTTCTTTTACTTTAACAATTCTTACATTGTTCAAGTGTTGGTGATAAATTATTTCAGCTTTTGTATGTCTGAGAAAGTCTTTACCTTCATTTTTTAAGACATATTTGCTGAGTACAGAATTATAGTTCGACAGATCTTTTTTCTCTCAGCACGTTAACAATGTTCCATCATTCGTATCTTTGTTTCTCTGTAGGTAACATGTCTTCCTCCTCACTCCCAGCTTCTTTTGTGATTTTCTCTTTATCAATGAATGGATCAAATTGATTATATCATGTCCTAATATAGTTTTCATGTTTCTTGTACTTGGGAAGATCATTTGAATTTGTCCCAGAATTTACTGATGCTCTTTTCTTTTCTTTCTTTTTTTTTTCTTTTTTTTTGAGCTGGAGTCTCGCCCTGTCAGCTTGGCTGGAGTGCAGTGGCGCAATCACTGCTCACTGCAGCCTCAACCTCCCAGGCTTAAGCTATCCTCTCACCTCAGCCTCCAGAGTAGCTGGAAGCACAGGTGTGTATCACCACTCCTGGCTATCGTTTTAATTTTGTTGTAGAGACAGGGACTTGCTATGCTGCCCAGGGTAGTCTCAAAGTCCTGGGTTTAAGTGATCCTTCTGCCTCAGCCTCCCAAAGTACTGGGATTACAGGTGTGAGCCACTTCACCTAGCCTGATGCTCTTTTCATTGAACTATATATACATATATATTTTTTTCTCTATGTTTTATTTTAAATTCCTTCTGTTGCTGTCTTCAAATACACTAATCTTTTCTTCCGCAATGCTTAATCTGTCATTAATCTCTTTCAGGGCATTTTTCAACTCAGGTATTTGAGATTTCATCTCTAGAAATCTGATTATTTTTACATCTTCCATGTCTCTTAAATTTTTGAACATATGGAATACAATTGTAATCACTGTTGTAATGTCTTTGTCTTCTAATTATAAAATTTGTTATAATATAGTTCTGGGTTGATTTCAGTTTATTGATTTTTCTTCTCATTATGGCTCATGTTTTGCTTTTATATGCCTAGTAATCTCTGGCTGGCCACCAGAGATTGCAAATTGATTTTTGTGAATATATTTTTGTATTTCTATGAGTATTTTTGAGTGTCATCTGAGACACATTTACTTGGAAACTGTTTCATTTTTGAGGACTTGCCTTTAAGATTCACTTGCAAGACCAGAGCAGTGTTTAATCTAGGGATAGTAGTTCTCCACTACTAAGACCCTTCTGATACTCTATCCAGTGATTTGCAAATTGAAGTTTTTCAAATCCGGTGAAAACAGGCAACATTCCCAGCCCTGTGTAAGCTCTAAGTATTCTTCCCACTAACCCTTTCAGATGATTCTTTCCCTTGCCTTGTGTATTTTCCTTACAACAATGCATTGGTCAATACTTTGCTAAATATGCAAGAGTCCTGTCTGCAGATCTCTGTGTTCTTTCTTTTGCAACTATTCTCCCAGAGTCTGTCTTGTAAGGCACACCTATGAGAGTTATTCCTTAGCTTTCAGCAATTGCTGTCCCTTGTTGCCAGATACCCGCTGTCTTGCAAACCATTATTTCATATATTTTATCTGTTGGATTTTGTTTATTTGTTTTTCTTTGTTTGGTTGTTTTTGGCAAGATGTTAAATCTTGTCCCTGTTACTCCCTACAAGTCCCCCAGTCATGAAGTCTTAACTTGAACTAAGAGAATCATTCATGTTTAATCCTGATCTTGGTCTTGATTGGCTTATATTTTTGATCCAACCTACTTTTACTAATTAGTGTGACCTCTAAATTTATTGGAAAATTGATTAAATATTAGCTAGCACTGTTCAATTTAAGATATTAGTATTGGAGTTTTGGAAGATAATTACAAATTTTTGACATAAAATTGTCAATTTATTTATTCATTTATTTTTTGAGACAGGGTTTTGTTTTGTCACCCAGGCTGCAGGGCAGTGGTGTGATCTTGGCTCACTGCAGCCTCACTCTCCTGGGCTCAAGCATTCCTCCTGCCTCAGTTTCCACGCCTCACGCCCTTCCCACCCTTCCACCAGTAGCTGGGACTACAGGCTTGCACACCACCACATCTGGCTAAAAACTGTCAATTTCTTATGTCACTTTTTACTTCTTTATTTATAACACAGGCAAAGGATTATTTTACTCTGGCACCTGATGAATGTTTAATATGGAGAAAAGTTTAACCATAAGGTTGTTAAGTGTTAATAAATTGACTACTTTTCTGGATAATTTTATTGATTAAATAAAAATTTGACTTACTATATTTATTCTAGATTTCAGCTGTGATTCTATATGCATAATATTAAAAATATTACTTTATCAGTATTTTAGAGAGATAGCAATTTAAATGTTTCTCTTCCAATAAGGTTCTTTCCATTTATACTGATTATAATTTGTAGAAGCAAATTTCATACTGAAAATCAAGGAAACTCACATACCATGGTTAATTGTGAAGCTGAACTTCTAACATATTTTATCATAACTGATTAGGAAGCTTGTCTCTTAAAATTAGGCATAAATTTGCAGTAGTGGAAACCAATGATGAGTGACAAAGAATTGACCTATTGTCTTTCCCCTTTTCTTTTTTTACCTAAAAGTAATTAGCATTATCATTAGAGAGAATTATTATTTTTACCATTTTAATATGACAGGGTAAATTATGCATACTTGACATGGTGTTTTTATTGCATTTTAAAAAAATGTTTATTTTAAGTTCTGAGGTACCTATGCAGGGTGTGCAGGTTTCTTACATAGGTAAACATGTGCCATGGTGGTTTGCTGCACCTATCAACCCATCACCTAAAAATTAAGCCCAGCATGCATCAGCTATTTTTCGTGAGGCTTTCTCTCCCCTGATGCCCCTGATAGGCCTCAGTGTGTGTTGTTCCCCTCCCTGTGTCCATGTGATCCCATTGTCCAGCTCTGACTTATGAGTGACAGCATACGGTATTTGGTTTTCTGTTCCTACTTAGTTTGCTGAGGATAATGACTTCTAGCTCCTTCCATATCCCTGCAAAGGACATCATCTCATTCCTTTTTTTGGCTGCATAGTATTCCATGGTGTATATGTACCACATTTTCTTTATCCAGTCTATCATTGATGGATATTTGGGTTGATTCCATGTCTTTGCTATTGTCAATAGTGCTGCAATGAACATATGTGTTCATATAAAATATATGTGTTCATATAAAATACAATGATTTATATTCCTTTGGGTATATACCGGGTAATGGAATTGCTGGGTCAAATGGTATTTCTGGTTCTAGGTCTTTGAGGAATTTTCACACTGTCTTCCACAATGGTTGAACTAAATTACATTCCCACCAACAGTGTAAAAGTGTTCCTATTTCTCTGCAACCTTGCCAGCATCTGTTGTTTCTTGACTTTAATAATCATCATTCTGACTGGTGTGAGATGGTATCTCATTGTGGTTCTGATTTCCATTTCTCTAATGCTCAGTAGTGTTGAGGGTTTTTTTTCATATGTTTGTTGGCTGCATCAATGTCTTCTTTTGAGAAGTGTCTGTTCATGTCCTTTGCCCACTTTTTAATGTGATTGTTTTTTTCTTGTAAATTTAAGTTCTTTGTAGACTCTGGATACTAGACCTGTGTCAGATGGATAGGTTGCAAAATTTTTTTCTCATTCTGTAGGTTGCCTGTTCACTCTGAAAACAGTTTCTTTTGCTGTGCAGAATTTCTTTAGTTTAATTAGATCCCATTTGTCCATTTTGGCTTTTGTTACAATTGCTTTTCATATTTTTGTCATGAAATCTTTGCCTGTGCCTATGTCCTGTATGGTATTGCCTAGATTTTCTTCTAGGGGTTTTATAGTTTTGGGTTTTACATTTAAGTTTTTAATCCATCTTGAGTTTATTTTTGTATAAGGTATAAGGAAGGGTTCCAGTTTCAGTTTTCTGCATATGACTAGCCAGTTATCCCAGCACCATTTATTAAATAGAGAGTCCTTTCTCCATTGCTTTTTTTTTGGTCAGGTTTGTTGAAGATCAGAAGATTGTAGATGTGTGGTCTTATTTCTGATATCACTATTCTGTTAGACAATTAGAATTCTAATTCTGTCAGTGGTAGTTTGATGGCAATAACACTGAATCTATTAATTACTTTGGGCATATGACCATTTTCACGATATTGAATCTTCCTGTCCATGAGCATGGAATGTTTTTCCATTTGATTGTGTTCTCTCTGATTGCCTTGAGCAGTGGTTTACAGCTTTCCCTGAAGAGGTCCTTCATTTCCCTTGTTAGTTACATTCCGAGGTATTTTATTGTCTTCGTAGCAATTGTGAATGAAAGTTCATTCATGATTTGGCTATCTGCTTTGTCTGTTGTTGGTATATAATAATGCCTGTAATTTTTGCACACTGACTTTGTATCCTGAGACTTTGTTGAAGTTGCTTATCAGCTTAAGAAGCTTTTGGATTAAGATGATAGTGTTTTCTAGACATGAGATCATGTCATCCGCAATCAAAGACAATTTGACTTCCTCTCTTCATATTTGAATACCCTTTATTTCTTTCTCTTGCCTGATTTCCCTGGCCAGAATTTTCAATACTATGTTGAATAGGAGTGGTAAGAAAAGGCAGCCTTGACTTGTATCGGTTTTCAAAGGGAAATTCAGTATGATATTGGCGGTGGGTTTGTCATAAATGGCTCTTTTATTATTTTGAGGTATGTTTCTTCAATACCAATTTTATTGAGAGTTGTTAACATGAAGTGATGTGAATTTTATCAGAGGCCTTTTCTGCATCTATTGAGATAAACGTGGTGTTTGTCTTTAGTTCTGTGTATGTAATAAGTGACGTTTATTGATTTGCGTATGTTGAACCAGCCTTGCATCCCAGGAATGAAGTCAGCTTGATCATGGTGGATAAGCTTTTGGATATGATGCTGTATTCAGTTTGCCAGTAGTTTTTCTTTTGAGGATTTTTGCACTGATGTTCATTAGGTATATTGGCCTGATGTTTTCTTTTCTTTTCTTTTTTTTTTTTTTTTTTTTTTGTATCTCTTCAAGGTTTTCTTATCAGGATGATACTGGCCTCATAAAAGGAGTTAGGAAGGAGTCCCTTCTTTTCAATTGTTGGAAATAGTTTCAGAAGAAATGGTAATAGCTCCTCTTTTTACCTCTGGTAGTACACAGCTGTAAATCCTTCTTGTCTTGGGCTTTTTTTGGTTGGTAGGCTATTTATTACTGCCTCGATTTCAGAACTAGTTATTGGTCTATTCAGGGATTTAACTTCCTCCTGATTCAGTCTTGGAAGGGTGTATGTGTCCAGGAATTTATCCCTGTCTTCTAGATTTTCTAGTTTATTTGCGTAGAGGGATTCATAGAATTCTCTGATGGTTGTTTGTATTTCTGTAGAGTCTGTGGTGCTATCTCCTTTAAAATTTTTTATTGTGTCTATTTGATTCTTCTCTCTTTTTTATTAATCTAGCTAGTGGTCTTCTATTTTATTAATTTTTTCAAAAAAACAGCTCCAGGATTTGGTAATTTTTGAAGGGTTTTTCATATTTCTATCTCTTTCAGTTCCACTCTGATCCAGGTTATTTCTTATCTTCTGTTAGCTTTGGGTTGTGTTTGCTCTTGGTACTCTATTTCTTTTAGTTGTGATGTGAGGATGTCGATTTGAGATCTTTCTAGGTTTCTGATATGGGGATTTTGTGTTATAAATTTCCCTCTTAACACTGCTTTAGCTGTGTCCCAGAGATTCTGGTATACTGTTTCTTTGTTCTCATTCATTTGAAAGAACTTCTTGATTTCTGCCTTAATTTCTTTATTTACCCAGAGTTATTCAGCAGCAGGTTATTCAATTTCCATGTAGTTGTGTGGTTTTGAGTGAGTTTCTTAATTTTGAGTTCCAATTTAATTGCATTGTAGTCTGAGAGACTGTTATGATTTCAGTTCTTTTGCACTTGCTGAGGAGTGGTTTACTTCCAATTATGTGATCAATTTTAGAGTAAGTGACATGTGGCACCTAGAAGAATGTATATTCTGTTGTTTAGGGATGCAGAGTTCTGTAGGTATCTATCAGGTCCACTTGATTCAGAGCTGAGTTCAAGTCCTGAATATCTTTGTTAATTTTCTATCTCGATGATTTGTCTAATATTGACAGTGGGGTGCTAAAGTCTTCCACTATTATTGCATAGGAATCTAAGTCCCTTTGAAGGTCTCTAAGCAATTGTTTTATAAATCTAGGTGCTCCTGTATTGAGTGCATATATACTTAGGATAGTTACTCTTCTTGTTGAATTGAACCCTTTGCCATTATGTCATGCCCTTCATCTTTTTTGATCTTTGTTGGCTTAAAGTCTGTTTTGTCAGAAACTAGGATTACAACCCCTGCTTTTTTCTGCTTTCCATTTGCTTGCTAAATTTTCCTCCATCCCTTTATTTTGAGCCTATGTGTGCCTTTGCACATGAGATGAGTCTCTTGAATACAGCACACTGATGGGTCTTGACCCTATTCAACTTGCCATTCTGTGTCTTTTAATTGGGGGCATTTAGCCCATTTACATTTAAGGTCAATATTGCTATGTGTGAATTTGATCCTGTCATCATGACGCTGGCTAGTTAATTTAGCAGACTTGTTAACGTGGTTGCTTCATAGTGTCATTGGTCTGTATTCTTCAGTGTGTTTTTGTAGTGGCTGTAATGGTTTTTCCTTTCCATATTCAGTACTTCCTTCAGGAACTCTTGCAGAGCAGGCCTGGTGGTGATGAATTCCTTTAGCATTTGCTTGTCCGGAAAGGATTTTATTTCTCCTTCCCTTATTAAGCTTAGTTTGGCTGGATATGAAATTTTGGGTTGGATATTAGTTTCTTTAAGAATGTTGAACATTGTCCCCCAATCTCTTCTGGCTTGTTTTCACTGAGGTCCACTGTTAGTCTGATGGGCTTCCCTTTGTAGGAGACCTCACCTTTTTTTTCTGGCTGCCCTTAACATTTTTTCTGTCATTTTAACTTTGGAAAATCTGATGATTATATGTCTTGGGGTTGATCTCATGGAGTATCTTACTGGGGTTCTCTGGATTTCCTGAATTTGAATGTTGGCCTGTCTTTTTAGGTTGGGAAAATTATCCTGTAAGATACCCTGATGTATGTTTCCCAACTTGGTTTTGTTGTCCTCATCTCTTTCAGGTACCCCAATCCATTGTAGGTTTGGTGTTTTTACATAATCCCACAATTCTTGGAGGTTTTGTTTATTAATTTTCATTCTCTTTTCTGTAATCTTGTCTCCCTAACTTACTTCAGCAGGACAGTCTTCAAGCTCTGAGATTCTCTCCTCTACTTGGTCTATTTGGCTATTGATACTCGTGGTTGCATTGTGAAGTTCTTAAGCTCTATCAGGTCATTTATGTTCCTCTCTAAACTGGTTATTCTGATTAACAACTCCTGTAATGTTTTACCATGGTTCTTAGCTTCTTTGCATTGGGTTAGAACATACTCCTTGGGCTCAGCAGTGTTCATTATTACCCACTTTCTGAAGCCTACTTCTGCCAATTCATCCATGTCTGCCTCAGCCCAATTCTATGCCCTTGCTGGAGAGGTGTTGTGATCATCTGGAGGAGAAGCGGCACTCTGGCTTTTTGAATTTTCAGTGTTTTTGTGTTGCATCTTCGTGGGTTTATTTACTTTTGATCTTTGAAGCTGCTGACCTTTGTATGAGGCTTTTGGGGGTCTTTTTGTTGATATTGTTGTTGTTGCTTTCTGTTTCTTTGTTTTTCTTTTAACAGTCAAGCCCCTCTTCCACAGGGCTGATGAAGCTTGCTGGAGGTCCACTCCAGACCCTGTGTGCCTGGGTCCCTACACTACATGGAGGTATCACCAGTGGAGGTTGCACAACAGCAAAGATAGCTGCCTGCTCCTTCCTCTGGGAGCTCTGCCCCGGGGGGGGCACCAAACTGATGCCAGCCAGAACTCTCCTGTATGAGATGTCTGGAGACCCCTGCTGGGGGAGTCTCACCTAGTCAGTAGGCACAGGATCAGGAGCTGCTTGAAGAAGTAGATTGGCTGCCCCTTGATGGAGTGGGTGCACTGCACTCAGGGGAATTCCACTCATCTGGACTGCCCAGTCTCCTCAGAGCCAGCAGGTGGGAAAGACTAAGTCTGCTGAACTGGACCCTGCAGTTGCCCCTTCCCCCAAGGGCTCCATCCCAGGGAGATCAGAGTTCTGTTCATAAACCCCTGGCTGGAGTTGCTGTAATTCCTGCCCTGGCTGATGAGGAGGGATGGATGGGTCTACACACCCCCATCCCCACAAAGAAACAGTCTGGCTACGATCTGCCACAGCCACTGTGCTGCACTCTGAGGAATGCCTCCCAGTCCAAACTGTCCATTCTCCCAGTCATTAGCAGGGGAAAATGGCCTATTGGATCTACAGTGATGGTGGCTGCCCATCTCCCTGGGAGCCTATTGCATTTTTTACTAAAATGAAATTGTAAAAAAAATGTTTTCCAGCCAGGCACGGTGGCTCACGCCTGTAATCCCAGCACTTTGGGAGGCCAAGGCAGGTGGATCATGATGTCAAGAGATCAAGACTATCCTGGCCAATATGGTGAAACCCCATCTCTACTAAAAATACAAAAATTAGCCAGGCATGGTGGCACGTGCCTGTAATCCCAGCTACTTGGGCAGCTGAGGCAGGAGAATCGCTTGAACCAGGGAGTCAGAAGTTGCAGTGAGCTGAAATCACGCCACTGCACTCCAGCCTGGTGACAGAGCAAGACTCTGCCTAAAAAAAAAAAAAAAAAAAAAAAAGTTTTCCTTGAAATCACAGTTTAGCAGTAGTTGAAAACCAGAAATCTTTGATCTGGACTCAATACTGAATGCATGACCTTTATCTATTCTCCTGGGTTTTATTTTTTAAAAGATGAATTTCTGTTAAAACATAAATGCTGAATTTACTTCCTTACAGTTCTGGATGTCAGTTAAAATCAGTTTTGGCAGTGCTGTGTTCATTCTGGTGGCTTTAAGGGAGAATCTATTTTCTTGCCACTTTCAGCTTCTAGAGGGCACCTGTGTTCCTTGACTCATGGGCCCCTCCTCCATCTTCAAAGAACATTACTCCAACTTCTGATTATTCTACCACATCTCCTCTGTCTTTGACCTTCTTGCTTCCCTTTTATAAAGATCTTTTCAATTACATTGAATTTACCCAGATAATCCAAGAAAATCTCCCAATCTCAAGATCCTTAACTTGATTTTATGGGGGAGAAAGGGCCATTATTCAGCCTGCCACAGCCATTCTCCCTCTCATTCCTTTAAGTTTTTGCTCATTCTCTTATTTATGTTACCTTCCTGGTTCCTGTGGGCACTGGAGTTTGTAGAATTTGACTTCCAAAAGGGGAGTCTTACCTACTCAGATTACTGAAGAAGCACAACTCTAGTTAGAAGTTGGCTATCAGACTCACACAACATAAAATGTTTTTAATAGGCCAGGCGCAGTGACTCATGCCTGTAATCCCAGCACTTTGGGAGGCCAAGGTGGGTAGATCACCTAAGGTCAGGAGTTCGAGACCAGCCTGACCAACATGGTGAAACCCCATCTCTACTAAAAATACAAAAATTAGCCAGGCATGGTGGTGGGCACCTGTAATCCCAGCTACTTGGGAGGCTGAGACAGGAGAATCGCTTGAACCTGGGAGGCAGAGGCTGCAGTGAGCCAAGATGGCACCATTGCACTCCATCCTGGGTGACAGAGCAAGACTCTGTTTCAAAAATAAAAAAAAAGTTTTAAATGTTTTAATAAAATTTGAACTGCATTTAGTTTTATCAAAGGATACATGAAAAGAAATATATTAGGAATGATATCTTCACCTCATCAAGAGGTGCCAATCACGGACAACCCAAGGGCACAGCTTCTTTGGCCCCTTGGCTCTGTCAACTGTGGCACAGAGGGCTGACAAGGACAAGGGCCAATGTGAGTGGGAATCACCTCAACATAAGTTGCAAGCCGAGTACAGGCACTGTACCATATCTATTTGTTTGTACTAAAACAATTTATCATAATTTTGATAATTCGCTTCAAGTCTTGTGATAGTTTTGTAAAGAATACAATATATCTCTTCTTTTTTCTCTTCCTTCTTTTCCTCCTCCTATTCTTTTCTTTTATCATCGTCATAGTTATCATCTACAGCTATTATTTATTGAACTCTTCGTCTTTGTACTTGGCTAGGCATATATATATATAAAATTAATAATTATTTAATTCTGTAAAATAATGAAATAATAATATTTTCCTTTTTTTACATAGGCAGACACTTTATATCCCCTTCTCTGTTTTGTTTTTATCTTATGACATATGCAACATAATATGTACATCATTTTCTTTTTATTTATATTTATTTATTTATTTATTTATTTATTTTTGAGGCAGAGTCTCGCTTTGTTACCCAGGCTATAGAGCAGTGGTGCAATCTCAGCTTACTGCAACCTCTGCCTGCCGGGTCCAAGCGATTCTCCCATCTCAGCCTCCTGAGTAACTGGGATTATAGGTATGCAGCACCATGCCTGGCTTTTTTTTTTTTTTTTTTTTAAGTAGAGACAGGGTTTTGCCATGTTGGCCAGTCTGGTCTCAAACTCCTGGCCTCAAGTGATCTGCCTGCCTCAGCCTCCCAAAGTGCTGGGATTACAGATGTGAGCCACCGTGCCCGAGCTGGACTGCATTTCTTTACCTTGTTTATTATCCATCTTCTCTGTAATGCAATCTAAGTGAGAAAAGAAATTTTTGGCCTTTTGTTTTTTAAATTTTTATGCTGCTATCTCCATGGATTGCAGCACAGCACTTTGCATACAATAAGTCCTCAGATATTTATTAACTCTGCTGCATGTGTAGAAAAACTTATGGACTAATGGGGAAGACAGAACACTAAACAATTGAAATCCATTCCATGAGAGTATAAATAGGGGGTGAAACTTAGGTCTTCGTCTATTTATTGGCTATTCTCCAGAGATTCCCACTCTAGAGGGGAAGAGAAAACAAGAAGATATTTAGAATATGGAAAAATGAAAGGTGTAAAGAAAGACTAGGATGTGGTGAGTATGTTGAAGGGAAACACGTGCACACAGCGTAGTGTTAGAAGAGTTAGGCATGGCTTCCCAGAGAAGGATGTTTCAATAGGATGGAAACCTATTTTGGAGGGAAAATTATTATGCTTTGCTTTAGGGCCTTATTTGCTAACTTTTCAAAATTTTATTTTCTTTTTTAATAAAAAAAAAAGGGCAGAAGGATTCAAAAATAAGCTCAAGAAATTTTACTTAGAGCCTATGAATGGAAGGAATATGCCCTGTTCAACTTAGAGTGGTCAAGAATAGTTCAAAAGGTTCTAGTTCAAGTGATATTCCTTGGCTTGGCTCAGTCATGTTCTGGTCATTTGTACAAACAAATGTACAAATGTGTCTTCAAGGCTCAGCTTTCAATTATTTTGGGTGTATACCCAGAAGTAAAATTGCTGGATCATATGGTAATTCTATTTGTGATTTTTTAAGGAGCCACCATAGTGTTATCCCTAGAGATTGTGCCATCTTACATTTCCATTAACAGTAGAGGAGGGTCCCAATTTCTCCACATCCTCACCAACACTTGTTCTCTGTTCCTTTGTTTTGTTTTTTGTATTTTGATAGTAGCCTATCTACTTCTATTGGATGTGAAGTAGTTCTGGGCATTTGATTTTATATAAGTTATCTAATTTAGCTACATTTCTGTCTCCTGTCCTTAAAACAATTTTTCATGAAATTTGTCAGAAAGGAACAAATAAATGTAATACTTGTGAATATGTCTATAATTTCTTTGTGAAACTTAAAGATAACTCAATTTTTGAAAGGTTATTTTCTATCCTTAAAAGTGATTGAATGATTCTTCAAATAACTAGAATAATTCTACTTTTCTTGAGGGGTCTTCTTGGTTTTTCTAGAATTCTATACCTCTGGGTTTTTCTAGAAAAAATATAAATTCCCAAAGCTAACTCATAATTAAACATATAAGTAACCAAATAAAAACAGAAAAAGAAGTCTTTTTCTCCCTTTAATTCCTTGTACTTTGCTTAAAAATACCACTGTGAAATTCTACAAATGTCAAGAAATAGATAACTTCTCAGCTATTTAAATGTGTCAGAATATAGGAAAGCCCCAAATATCCTTAATTCATTCTATAAAGCTAGCAGAACACTAACCACAAACTAGAAAGTGATACTATAATCAAAGGAAACTATAATAATATCACTTGAAAACTGAAGCAAAGAAACTATTAGGAAAATGAATAGCAGTATATTAAAACAATAATTTACTATTAAATTATTCTCAGAAATCTAATCTGTAAATGAAGTATATTCCACTAATAGCAGGAAAAAAAATCCCTCTGAAGTTGAAAGGCATATAAGAACATTTATCATCACTTCATAATTAAAATTATAGACCTTCTTTGGAAATTGGGCTAATGGTATCTATCAAAAATACAAAGTATTTCTAAGTTCATATTTATTAAAGCTTCCCTGCAGAGTCCATAAAATCATTAAAGACATCATTATAAAAATCAGGACAATAAGAACTCACATTTATGTGTAAGCAACAGGGGGGCTATGCCTTTTACCTGAATTTCCTGATTTAATCTGTATAACCATCCAGGAGTGTGTGTTATTATTGGTCTCAATTTTGCAGGTAAGAAACCTATCCTCAGATAAATTTAATAACATACCCAGAGTCACAGAGCTAGTATTATCAGACAATCAGACAGGACCCCCCCCTTCAGAATTAAGCAAGCTAGAAAAAATCATTTAATTTACTACCAGTTGAGTGATGTACCACTAATAGTTACAGGGAGTATTGTCATTGAATTTTATAGCCATTTTTGTATTGGCACTACCAATATAAAAGCCTGAGATGAGTGTCCCTGTAAAATTGAGTTCCTCTTACTCTTTGATACCATCTGTGATCATATCAGCAGGTGTTAATTGTTCTTTTGATAATACCCAAACTAATCCTATTAAGGCTAACAGTGGGAGTATGGCCTACTGCAACTTAGTACCAAAGTCCAAACATAAAAGGCGATCTTATATCCATGTAGGCCTCCAAATAATATACGTTTTAACTACAATGAAGTGGTCAATTTCCTAAAGACTTTGTAAGCATCTGCCTGTAGTGTTAAATGCTTTAGTTCCCCTATCAGACCAATTAGAATAGAAAGATTAATTGGAAAGTAAATTCATTGTGCAATGTTACATACAATTTACTGACTTAAAAAACTCATAAATTAGGCTGGGCACAGGTCGCTCATGCCTGTAATCTCAGCACTTTGGGAGGCTGAGGTGGGTGGATCATGAGATCAGGAGTTCGAGACCAGCCTGGCCCACATAGTGAAACCCCCATCTCTACTAAAATACAAAAATTAGCCAGGTGTGGCGGCACGCACCTGTAGTCCCAGCTACTCAGGAGGCTGAGACAGGAGAACTGCTTGAACCCCAGAGGTGGAGGTTGCAGTGGGCCGAGACCACACCACTGCACTCGAGTCTGGGTGACAGAGCAAGATTCTGTCTCAAAAACAAACAAACAAAAAAGCTTCATAAAATAAGGGATTTCTCTAATGTGTAGAATTTTTGTTGGTTAACATGGCACAGATCAATTAGGAAAAATAGGCAGTTAATTGTTATTATTTAATAATCTGTAGGTTATTTTAGGTATTTTGTAAGATTTGTTTTCTTTTAATAGAGCATACATTTTCTTTCGTTAGAGAGAGAAAAGTTTGTGGAAAAGCGGATTTGGAAACCAATATATGGAACTGGCAACTTAACCTGAATTATAAAGTGATGATTTTTAAAATAATATATATCTATATATGCCTATGGGTACTTGTATGTATAGAGAATATATAGCAGCAAATCACAATATATGTTGCCTAGATTCATTCTTTAGTGTTTATACTAAAATTAGTCTCCTTAAATAAGCAGCAATTACATTCATTAGAAATGCATTGTTAACAAATCAAACTACCAATGAAGCCTAGTAAATGACCAGAGAGAATCATTTGTTTTGCTGATCTCTTTTTTGATGTGCTAAGAGCCCCTAATAAGAATAGTTAAAGCATTCAGCTGAGAACTGAAGTGTGAAAACTAACATTATCTCTTAATTTGATGATAGACATTAATTGAAGCTTAGATTTTACAGTCAGTGTTTGACAGAAACTTTCATGTCTATGCAGCTTTTAAGGTGCCCACATGAAGTTCCCCAAATCATGTCTCAATAAAAGGGAATTCAAGAGTAGAGTAGAAAACTAGCTACACAAATGACCATCACTGGTAGGACAGACATCATTTTTTTCTTAATCTTCTATTTATATGAAAGAGCCTGCAACAGATTGCATAAGGATCTGTTTGTTTGGGTTGGATTCCAGCAAAGAAGGTTACACGCGCGCAGATAAGCCAAAACACCATATTACCTAGGGAACTGGAAGGTTGAAGTGTTTAAGCATAAATGCAAGCAGACATTTTATCACTCTCTCAAGTGTATTTATGGGACAACAGTTAAGTAAAATAATTATTAATACATTAATTGCTTTACATATTTTATTGTAGAATTAAGTTCAGAATTATGTTTTGATGCATTTCTGTCACTAAGCACACATGTGAGAACACGCACAAACACACACTTCCCTGTGTGCACACAACACCTATAAATCTCATCCTCCGATGTACACCTACACTCACACCCACACATTCACTCTGGCTATCCATTTTTATTCTAATTTTAAGCTGGAATAGTAATGGATGCATGTATTTGTGTTATTTTTTAACAGTTAGCTTGCATGTAGGTCAGGACACTAATTTTTCCTTCTGTAGTTAATATAATTTTAACATATATAAAAATTAGTATTTTTTTTCAATTTACTGTCTCAGTGTAAACTAAGGCAGAGTTTGGTTAATCAAGTTATTGAATTCTAACTGGTTTCAGTAAATATTAAAAGTTTCTTAATTTTAAGAACTTATTTAATTTAAATAATTTCTAGGAGATGTATTTTACATCTTTATAATACTCTTCATAATTACATTACCTTAAATCTTATTTTTAAAATATAAGCTGAAAGAGGATCTTATTTAAAATCAATTATTCTCACAAGTAATTGGCTGGAGTTGTTTGGGGTATCTTCACTGAAATTTACAATTTTGATTTCCTATAATATTTTCAAGATATCAATATCATTGTTGTTCATTCTTTGATTATTCTTTGTGAATACTTTAGGGAAAGTCTATCATGTGCTGGGCACTTGGCTTGATTTCAGGTGTACAAAGATGAAGAGCATTTTTCCCTGTTTTAATGGAGCTCTGAGCTCTGTGGAGTGAAGGGAACAACTTGTAAATACTATTTACTATAACAAATATAATGGATGTGAACAGGGATAGGGATGTAGAAGACCTACAGGACAGTTCTGCATAGATTGGTCAATTGCTTCTGAGCACTGATAAATGCATAGAGGGATAGAATGTCAGAAAAACTGAAGAAGCCATTCAAAATACATCATCTAACTTAGATTCCAGAATACTTTGCAATTGTATATGATAGATCTAACCTGTATGCCCATGTAGAGATTCTTACTCATATTAAAGCAAGCTGAAAGCGTACATTTGAGTAGATGGGCTTATTGTTTCGGTTGTATTTTGGGTTTCTTGGTTGTTGTTATAATGAAACAAATGTTATCTGTAAACTAATGTGCAAATCGGGAAAGTTAATACATATATACATTGTATATAGTAAAGTATTTAAACAAAATTTTGAGTCAATGGACAACTTCTTCCCACTTCTCTTGGATCTGATGTGAGTGCTTTTCACAGATATAATCCCTGAAGAAATACATGGAGCTAGAAAGCACCTGAGTTCAGTTTTATTAGTTGATGATCCTAGGTAACTGATGGTAATTTTACTTCTGGCTCTGAGAAAGGGAGACAGTGATGAAAGGAATAGAATACGATTAATGAAGTGTATAGAAACAAAATAAGAAAAGATAATTTTTTTTAGATTTGATTCCTTTTATGAGATGGCATTTTTATTTTTAAAAATTAGTTTATTTTTGATTAGCTTTTAATATATATGAAATTATTAAAAGCTAATACTCAGAAGGGTTGCAAAATAGCCACCCAAAAATGCAATGTGTATATCTTTCTAAACACATGAATTTGCATGATTTTCCCCCACTGCACCCCAGAGAATGAATACTAAGTATGACATTATCAGCATGCTCCAAATTAAGGAACTATTTATCTTTGTCATTAACATCTCCCTTCCCCACATATATACCTCCAAGCACCCTTCAATGAAAGGTTCAATGTACAACATTTTTGGTCTAATCTGAATGTGATTAATTTTGTCTTGGTGGTATTCTGTCAACATAGATAATACTTGACTGTAGCTCTGTGTGCATCTGTGCATAATTCTATGGAATTTTAAGAATATTGATTCTGCGTCATTGATTGAGATAATAAGTAAGAGATCATCAGCTCTTTTATAAGGTCTCCAGCCTCTAGATACCTATTTTTCTGCCTCTCCTATTGCAGACAAAAAAAAAAAAGGAGCATCCAGTAACTTTCATGTGAATGTTTCTGGGGCTCTGATCCTATAAGGGCCTCTTTTAATCTTTCCATGAGCAACTTTTTTTTAGAATGCACAGATTTTGTTTTCTCTTCAGCAAGTATACTACAGAAACAATGTATGGTCAAGCTAAAATTTTGAAAAGAGAAATAATTTTAAGAAGAAAATGAAGGTCATCATTAATACCTTCAATATTTATTATTTGTGTGCTTCCAGAAGTGTGCTCTTATGTGTATGTCTCAAAAAACTGAAATAATAAGGCACTTAACAATTGCTTAACATGCTCTGACTACATATCATGAATATTTGTTAGTGTCACAAAATGTTTTTCTAAATCATGATTTTTAATGGCCATGTACTGTTTCAGGATGTGGCTATCATGTAATTTATTCACTTAATCAGATTTTTTAAAAATTCACCTTCTTGTAAAGAATGATATAACAAATGTCCTTATGCACAAATTTTCTTGCACATATTTGATTTTTTTATTAGTTTAAAAGGAAGAGCTATGTTCGAAGGTATACTCTTTCTGTTTTTGCTTGTTTTTTCCAAGAGAGTCTCACTCTGTCACTCAGGCTGGAGTGCAATAGCACGATCTCCACTCACTGCAAACTCCACCTCCTGGTGCAAGGGAGTCTCATGTCTCAGCCTCCTAAGACATGTAGCTGGGATTACAGGAGTTTGCCACTTTGCCTGGCTAATTTTTGTATTGTAGTAGAGATGGGGTTTCACCATGTTGGCCAGGCTGGTCTCAAACTCCTGACCTCAGACAATCTGCCCGCCTCGGCCTCCCAAAGTTCTGGGTTTACAGGCATAAGCCACCAGGCCCTGCCGATATGCTCGTTTTGATAGCACTGATGATTCTTCACAAATAACTTTCCAGCATAGCTGTGCTGTGCTGACTTTACACTATGAGTGCATTGCATCAAAAGTACTTGAAAAGTACTTCTCACAGTTTTGCTAACAATGGGTATTAATCTTATAATTACCCATATGATACATGCAAAAGGTACAGTTTTTAAATTTTTAGCTACTAAAAGAAGTCTATAACTTTCTGGGCTTTTGTGAGTTCCTTTGTAAATTGGCATTTTTACTTTGAGATGCTGTTAATTTACATTTTATCTTTAATTTTGAGGCACTGAATGACAAGATGAAATAAAGGAGATGCTTTCACAAGCCAGGGGAAAATATATATATTATATATAAAATATATAATATATATTATATATATATTATATATAAAATATATATTTTATATATATATAAATGTGTATATATTATACACAAATATATAATATATACTATATTATTTCAATTGTATAATTATAAAATAAATATAATTTTATATATGTTTTATAAATATATATACACACACACATTTTTCCCTGAATTGCTACATGACAGATAGCAGATCCTGCAAGTATTCAATAAATCACTGTTGATTTTTGACCAACCATGAAAATGTTAAGTGACACCTTTATCAAGAGATAATTGATAAGCCAGTGGTAGGTCTAAAACTAATACTAGTGGCCGGGCGCGTTGGCTCACGCCTGTAATCCCAGCACTTTGGGAGGCTGAGGTGGGTGGATCATGAGGTCAGGAGATCGAGACCATCCTGGCTAACATGGTGAAACCCCTACTCTACTAAAAATACAAAAACTTAGCCTGGCGTGGTGGCAGGCACCTGTAGTCCCAGCTAATCAGGAGGCTGAGGCAGGAGAATGGCGTGAAACCGGGAGGCGGAGCTTGCAGTGAGTCAAGATCGCACCACTGCCTTCTAGCCTGGGCGACAGAGTGAGACTCCACCACAAAAAAAAAAAAAAAAAAGAAACACACACACAAAAAACTAATACTAGTAAAATATTTATCACAGACTAAGCAATAAACACAAGGTTCATCTAAGTGTGATTGGAACCATGTATTTCTAAATACCTTGTAAAAGACATTAGAAGATATTATTTTTAAGGCAAGGTAAAGTACAGAATTAAGTGACATCATTAAAAGTGCAACAAATTTCCATTTTAGCAAACATATTTCTCTCCTTTGTGAATAGGAATGGTCATTTTAGCTCTTTATGTGTGGAAAAAAAAGGAGCCCACATTGAAGGGACAAATGAATCTATTAGATTATTGGTTTTATGGAACATCTGAAGTAAAGGTAACACATTAGTTTTTATTCAAATTAAAATAGGATGCCAGTGTGTGGTATTAAGCAGGAGAATGACATTAGCTGATGGGATTTTAAAAGATTCTGGTTGCTTTGGGGAGAGTGAATTGTTGGAAGACAAGAGTGAAGGCTGGGCGACAGTTTGGAGGTTACTGCTAAAGTTCAGGAGAGAAATAACCATAGCTTGAGATAGAAAGGTAGCACTGGACAAGCAGAGAGAGTCTGTTTTGATGACAGTCTTGCTGATGCTGACGGACTAAATATAGTAGATGAAAAAGGGAAAATTTCATGCTCATTAGATAATGAATGAGTGGATGCAGATTAAGTGTTCTCTTCTAAGAAGAGAAACAAAATTTTTAAACACTATTGAGTTATTTTGAGTGCAAAATCAGACACCATGTTTTTTGGTTTTTTTTCCTAATAACATAGCAGGTCCTAACTCCTGCAACCTGTCAATGTTACCTCATATGGAAACAAGGTCTCTGTGGATGTAATTAAGAATCTTAAAATGCAAAGACTACTCTGAATTATCCAGGTGGGCCTTAAATGTGATCATAGGTATCCTTATAAGAAGGGTAGGGACCTATAAGGATTACACACAGAGAGAAAGTCAGCAGTGTGAAGATGGAGCAGAGAGATATTTGAAGAAACTGGCCATAAAGGGTGGAGCAATGTGGCCACAAGCAAGACATGTCAGCACTCATCAGAAGCTGAAAGAGACAAGGAATAGATTCTCTTCGAGAGCATGCAGAGTGTGTGTGTGGCTGTGCTGACACCAGGATTTCAGTGCAGTGATTCTGATTTCAGATTTCCAGGCTCCAGAACTGTGAGAGAATATAGTTTTTTGTTTGTTTGTTTGTTTTTTGAGACGGAGTCTTGCTCTATCACCCAGGCTGGAGTGCAGTGGCACGATCTTGGCTCACTGCAAGCTCTGCCTCCCAGTTTCACCCCATTATCCTGCCTCAGCCTCCCAAATAGCTGGGACTACAGGCACCCGCCACCATGCCCAGCTAATTTTTTGTGTTTTTAGTAGAGACAGAGTTTCACTGTGTTAGCCAGGATGGTGTCAATCTCCTGACTTCGTGATCTGCCCGCCTTGGCCTCCCAAAGTGCTGGCATTACAGGCATGAGCCACGGCGCCCAGCCACTGAGTTTGTGCTAATTTGTTACAGCAGCCACAGGAAACTAAAATAGACTTTGATACTGTGTTTGGCAGGGAGGGCTACTGTAACAAATTCCTAAAAATGTGGAAGTGCTTTTGGGACTGGGTAATGGGAAGAAGCTGGAATAATTTTGAGGTGCATGACAGAAAAATCCTGGATTGCCTTGAACAGACTGTTGGTGAAAATATAGATGTTCATAGTGTTTCCAGTAAGGGTACAGAGGAAATGGAAAGAGAAACTTGAAAGTGATGAACTGGGATACTGAGCCGAGGACATTTCTAAGAAAAGCATTCAAGGTGTGCCCTGGTTTCTTCTTACTGCCTTTAGTAAAATGTGAAAGGGAAAGAGAAAGATTCAGGGAAGAACTGTTAAGCCAAAATGAAGCAGGATTTGACAATTTGGAAAATTCCCAACCTACACAGATTGCAAAAAATGCTAAAAATAGGAGATTTATTGTTAGGAAAATGAGTTCTGAATATAAAGCCAAGAGTTTAGTGTAAACCAAAAATAAAACTCCAAGCCCCCCATCCAACTGAATGGACCCCTCCTTTTGGCCAAGGGCATTCCAAAGTTAAACTGAAAAATTAGTTCAGGCCATGACGGGAAAGGGAGGTCAGACATGCCTCATTATATTCCCTTTTGGAATGCAGGCACAACTGACCAGCATTAACATTAAAACAGAGACCTTCAGCACTTTGGGAGGCTGAGGAGGGTGGATTACCTGAGGTCAGGAATTCGAGACCAGCCTGATCAACATGATGAGACCTCGTCTCTATTAAAAATACACAAATTAGCTGGGCATAGTGGCATGCACCTATAATCCCAGCTGCTCAGAAGGCTGAGACAGGAGAATCGCTTGAAACCAGGAGGTAGAGGTTGCAGTGAGCCAAGATCACGCCATTGCACTCCAGCCTGGGCAGCAAGAGTGAAATTCTGTCTCAAAAACAAAACAAACAAACAAAACAAAAAACAAACAAAAAAAAAACCAGAGACCTTAAGACTGAGAAAATGTACTCTTTGTAGCAATAAGATACCAACATGACAGATAGCAGACCCTGTAAGAAATCTAAGTGCTTTGTCCCAAAATATATTTCTTTGGCATATTTTGAAATGGTCATGAAAAACTGTCTCTGTGAAAATCTACATTCTGTTTCCCTTCCCTTCCCATGTCTTTTTCCTGATCCAGGAGAGAATTAAGTAAGGGTCTGGCACCTTTCTAATTCTGATAAGAAACATTTACAATCTATTCTCTCTGAAGCCTGCTACCTGAGTGCTTCATCTACATAATAAAAACCTTGGTGTCCACAACCCTTTATCTTAACCCAGACACTCCTTTGGTCTTTAAATAATACCTTAACTCTTTCAATCCATTGCCAGTTAGAAAATCTTTGTACCCACCTGTGACCTGGAAGCTGTTCCCACTCCACTTCAAACTGTCCCACCTTTCCAGACTGAAACAATGTATATCTTTCATATATTGATTGATGACTTAAGTCTCTCTAAAATGTATAAAACCAAGCTATAGCCTGACCACACTGGACAAATGTTCTTAGGGATTCCTGGGGCTCTGTTAAGGGTCATGGTCCTGATATTTGGCTCAGAATAAATTTCTTCAAGTATTTTACAGAATTTGACCTTTTGTTATTGACAGTAGGTAGACAACCATTGACTAGTTACTCAAAATGATCAAAAAGGTCAGAGTATTCCCTCACACAGAGGGCTCTTTGAAGAGAGTAAGCATGTGACTTGATCCACTCTACTCTCACAGCAGAAGCCAGGAAGATGAGATTATTCAGAAAAGGTATGTGGAAGACTCTCTTGTCTAATGGCATTTTGGGGTCATAGGCTCTTGGCCCCCTAAAGGTTTTCTAAAAATTACACTGACCTGAGGCATATTAATTAATAGGAGAAAAGGCAGATAAATTTATGTAATTTGGATATGTGGAAACTTTCAGAATAAAGACCCAACATTCCAATGAGTTACAGAGACTTATATACCATTTTGAAGTTATGGAAAGAATGGAGACTTAGATCCAGTAAAACAGGTTATGGGTGGTTGGCAGGAAGCTTGGCTAGCAAAGGAGGCCTTGTTATATAGATGAAGCCACTCTCAGAGAGAAAAAATGGTAAAGGTTTCTTTTTAGATTTTTAAAGGTGTCAGACTCTCAATCTCTCCTGCATGGGGTGGGGGTGAGGGGTGGGGAGGCATAGAAAGGGGATGGGGCATGGCTGCATTAATGGAGATTCTCTGCAGCTGCAAATTTTCCCCACATAAGACAGCACTGCAAGGCCACTTCTGCCTGCCGGACAAGTGACAGCCATTTCAAAATATGTCAAAGAAATATATTTTGGGGTAAAATATTTTAATTTATTTCAGCATAAATCCCTGTGACATACAAGGATTCAAGAATTGTTATATCAACAGAAAGACTGCCAGCTTGGCCTGAAAGGGACAGAGACAGGATGAAATGAAGGAAAGTTTGAAACCATGTTTGCAAAAATTATAACAGTGAGAAAAGTATGACAGTGAGAGATCTGATCTAACCAACCCCCAACTTGTCTTTAACCTCCAAACCTCCCTTGATTATTTCTGGGCTTTGGGAGACATTTGTTTATAGATTAAATGCTAGTAGCCCTTCCCCCAAACTAAACTGCCATTGTAAAGCTAATGAAAGACCACTGGGTTGGAAGGATGAGAGGAACCTGAATTCTGCTAAGCTGTAGACATAAATGATTACCAGCCATTATCCAGAGATCATAAGATTTGTAACTCCCCAATTACTCCTGCAGGTAACATCAGTACTGCAGAACCTCAGGTTGGCCTTTTGAGATGACTTTTTAGATTTTTGCATTTCTGATGACTGATGGCCCCACCCAACCCTACCAACCAGTCCTGTGGCTGCACACAGAAGCAGGCTCAGCTGCAGGAGGCCCATTTTCCACACGGCCTATGATTGCATCCCCAACCAGTCAGCCACCCACCAAACTATCCTTGAAAAGCCCTAGCCTCAGAATTTTAGGGGAAGCTGATTTGAGTAATAATAGAACTCAGGTCTCCAGTTCAGTTAGCTCTGTGTTAACTAAGCTCTTTTTCTATCGCATTTCCCCTGTCTTGATAAGTTGGCTCTATCCACACAGTGGGCAAAAAGAACTTGTTGGATGGTTACAATGTAACTCCAGTGGACAGTTATAATGGAACTCCCAATGGAACAGAGACCAGAACCACATACGCAGCACCCTAAGCCCAAGCTGTGGATGCCGAGGCCACAGGAATGGGTATGGAAGACAGAGTGATTAGCTGCAGAGAATTATTTCCAGATCTTGAAATATAATAAAGACTGGCTGGATTCTGAAATTATCTGGGGACTAGCAACTCTTTTTTTTCTTCCATTTCCCTATTTTGGATTGAGCATGTGTATAACTATTATTGTATATCTGTCTCACCATTTTTGGGAGCAGATAACCTGTGTCCTAGTTTCACAGGTCCAGAGATAGAAATTTTGCCACAGGATGGATCACACCCACACTCTGATTCATACCTAAGTTAGATTATTTAGATAATGAGATTGGGGACTTTTGAGCTCATAATATTTAGTTGCAATTTTAGATGCATTAATACTTTAATTAGAGTTGAGACTTTTGGGGTTGTTGGGACAGGGTGAATATATTTGGCATATGGGACAGATATGAATCTCTGTAGGCCAGATGGTAGTCTGTGCTAGGTTGAATAATGACATCTCCCAAGAGATGTCCACATCCTGATGCATAGTATGCATGGATGTTAACCTTTTATAGCAAAAAAAAAAAGTGAAGATGTGATTCCTTTAAGGATAGAAAAATACTGGGACAGTATTCTGGATTATCCAGGTAGGCCCTAAATGCAATCACAGATGCCCTTATAAAAGAGAGCTAGAGGGAAATTTCAGGCAATGTGACCACGGAGGCAGAGATTGAAGTAATGTAGCCACAAGCCAAGGAATGCTGGCAGCTACCAGACGATGGAAGAGAATAAAACAGATTCTCTTCTAGAACCTCTAGAGGGAATGAGGCCCTGCCGATATCATCATTTCAGCCCAGTGATGCTGACTTTGTATTTCTGACATCCAGAACTGTGAGAGAATAAATTTTGTTTCAGACACCCAGTTTGCGGTAATTTTTGACAGCAGTGACAGGAAACTAATACACACTGAAAAAAAAAATACATTCCAAAATTAACTTTACCATCTTACCCAACATGTGCTATGTTTAACTGGGCATGAGACTTTAACAAGGGCTGTTGGATATGGTCATTTCAAAGCCAACTTCCTGGAGTACTACAGCCAGCTACTTTAGTTCTATAACTTAGCATTTACTGCTGCTACCCATGTCCAGAATTTACACTAATATTTGCCATGTGTCTTCTGAAGGCTGGTGATGTGACATGAAGATTTGCCAGGTGGGCTGCAGTAAAGTTCCTAGCACCTATTTGGGGATGGGATATGAAGAATTAGGGATATAGAAGAGACATTTGGTCTGCACTTCATATCAACAACAATCCTTATATATAGATTATGGATGTTATTGACAAATGAGGTAATGTATCCTGTCACAATTGAAGGAAAATATTCTGAGAACTTAAAAGTTCTGCTTCCTTATCATCTGTAGTGAACTAGCAATCAATGTTTTATAAATTTTGGAAATACCCTATGATAACTCTTTTACATTGTTTTTTTTTTCAGTTTAAATAGTTAATTTTAATAACTAACAACACTTCAGTGCATTTTAAATGTTTTATTACACAGGTTTTGGAATTTCTTTATTTTTAAAAGATGAAGTAAACTCAAGCTTCTCCTAGCCACTGAGATGCCCTATCTATAGATAAATAGAGTTGGTGTATAACTATATTCCATTTGATAATCTTGTGAAATAAATGCACATAATTTAAGTCTGCTTATTCTTTCAATTAATAGTTGAGTGCCTATTGTATGCCAGGCACTGATCTAGGATCTACAGACATAATATCCCACAGATTTCCTTGCCCTCATCAAACTGGCATTCAAGTGGAGCAGACCATCCATAAACACATAAATAAGTGAATAAATGGCAGCTTATTTTAAGGAAAGAGGGCTAAAATGTCAAGTGGAATTAGTAGTTGTTAAATGCAGGAGACAGAGGGTTTTTAAATTTTAAAGAGAAATCAAGGAATGAAGGTCTCTTGATTAGCTGACTTTTGAGCAGAATTTATTCTATTCTTTCTTGTTGCTCTTTCTGCATCAAAATTCCAATAAAAGCTTTGGTGGAGGACATTTGGGATGCCTGGCAAGGTGAACATTTGAAGTTGTATTTGCCCCATTGAAGTAAAGAGCAACATTTAAAAGGAATATGTCTCTATATGAGTTTTTCTAGAGCAATATCAAATATAAATATTGGTGGCATTGTGATTCTTCTTCCCCAGACAAATCTATCTTGGTCTTCTATATAAAAGGAGAAGTGTAAATTTAGTCAGGAGATTTTGTTTGAATGAGACATATCCAGTTAATCATAACAGCAAAAGCAATATGCTTATGCCTGGCATACCCACCCACTGGCACAGGAAAAAGTCTCGAACTTGGTTAAATCATTATTTAAGTAATTTGGCTGACCGGCTGGGCCCAAATTCCAGTAAGCATGTCCTTGGACTCCACGCATAAAGCTTTGAGGACTTCTGCTCCTGCTGGGAAAGCTGCAGGTCATTACCACGTAAAACTGCCTCTGCTGTTACATATTTCAAATTAGTATCCTTTCTTCTCTTTCCTCCATCCCTTTCCAGACTACTGGTGCCCTTCCCACTGTGCATAAAATTAAGCATTAGATGGCTGTTTAGTAATCATGATGTGGTTTGTTTGTTTATTTTTGGAAGTGCATATGGGGGTACTTTTACAATTATCTTTATTCTCTATAATTAATTTCCAAGGCATTAAATGTAAATTAGCCCTCTGTGTGAAGTGTCAGTGCTATCACCTAAGCAAGGAAAGAAAAAGGTTCAACTTTGCAAAGTAGGGGGAACTTTTCTCTACCTCATTCTGTTAACTCATTGTGGAGGGAAACATTAATATTAAGAAGGAGAAAAAGAAAAGTTTTAAGAAGCGAATCTTGCTCTCTCTGGCTTCATCTCTTTCCAAGCTCATAATTGCTTTCTACAGTTTGTGCTGAGTCCTTAGAGGACCAGCACAGGATGCTGCAGTACAAAATAAGCTACGATCTAAATTTCCAATAGGTCAGAAAGTCCTGGCTTGATGACTATTAACCCCAGTGGCCAGTTTATTCAGAACAGACCATGGAGAAATTTCAAATGCACAATGAGTTTTGATGCCTGAATATGCTTAGAATTCCATCAGCATTTCAAGGCAAGTTTTAGCAATTTCTCATGAAAACAACATAGTAAAATGTTATTGAAAAAACAATGAACTTTTTAATCAGTATGTTGCCCTACTTTTTACAATTGATCCATCTGAATCACACACATTGAGTACAATTAAAGTACAATGTATCTTGTTGAACTACTTCACGTTACATGCAAGTTTCTATGCTCTGACATTTTAATCATTAGATTTGTGATTCTTACAGGCAACTGTACTTTGGAAGCATCCAGATTAATTATTCTCTACCTTTTCTCCCTCATAATGTCCCCAAAAATGTTTAAATGTATATTTAGAAGATGAGTTAGTCTTAAATAATGTAAACATTTAAAGCCCACATTTTTCATATCCCATCATATTACTAATGGAACTCTTTGGTCAAGTAGTAAACTATAATGTCATCCTTACAGTCACAGGACCAGATTCACAATGATGTGCCACCCCAATGCTGCATTTGTTTTAGAGAAATTTCAAATTCTATTCTGAATGCTTTCGAACATTTTGTTGCACAAGTCAATACTGAAGTTGTAACACAATCAAGGAGAAAAAACTTACGTCAATTCTCTGCCTTTTTCTTTGTGCTTACCTTCATCTAAATATGTTTTGGTTGCATAAATCACACTAGGAAGCACTGAGATGTAACAGCATTACAAAGCAAAAGACGACCTCTTTTTTGTTTCCTTGCATCTTCAAAATTAAGATATATTGAGAAGCTAGGTAGAGAGTGACCAGTCAACTATAGAATATAAATGCCAATTCTCTAGTTTGGGAATGTGAAACAGACCTCTGGGCAGATTAGGTACTTGAGTTCTGGATTGTACTAGACTAGAATCCCTGTTCTGCCAATTTCTGACTATGTGACTTCAGGCAACTTATTTAACTTCCACAAACTGTGGTTTCTTCATTCATTGGTGAAAGGAAAATGATAGATGTTTAGAGTGGTTGTAAGGATGAACTTTGATAATGTGCATTGTCTGGTACATAATAACTCAATAAATATTACCCATTAATTTGATTTCACAAGATACCTGGATAACTGTGAAATAGGCTTAATCTAGATGTCACTCTAGAAATCATCCAGACTTGGAGACACAACCTCACATGCCATCAAAGACCAGATGAGTAGCTGAGTAAAACAGCTAGCATGGAAAGGGACTCATGGTGACTGGGGCCTTCTGTAGAATGACTGCTCTACATAGAAGCTTGAAATGCTCTTTATCTGCCTCTTCCTCCTCTTTCTCCCTCCCTTACACTTCCACATTCTTCCTCTCCTCTAATATGTACAGATTAAGCAGTGAACATCAAAAACTCATATTAGCCCATGGCAACCAATGTGTCACCCCAGATTTAATTACAACTCCCTCATTATACAGAGCATGAAATTGAGACCTAAAAAGATGGTTGAGCAAATGTGTATGGTTTGTTAATGGCGAGGGTTTATACCTCCTCACTCCCTTGCAGGTTATGTTCTTTATTCACTATGAATAATCTGATGACTCTACATAAACCAGTTTTTATTTTTAATCTTAAAGAAAATTGCTACTTTATGCTGCATCTTTCTCTGAAGCCTACAAAAAGCGTACAAACTACTGCTTATAATTTTATAGAGTTAAGACATCTCTAACAGCAATTAAGGCAGCAATGTAAGTAAAGCAAAAGGAGAAAAGTGACCTTATTCCCACAAAAGTTTAAGTAGATTGCTACTATCAGCATCATGAATGTACTTAAAGCCTAGTTCTCAACTTCACAAAAGACTAAAGTTGAAGTACTTGCCTAATGTTAGTGTTTGTATCTGCTTTAATCATTGAGGTCCTATCTCCTGCTCATAATAACTTTACCACTAGGTGGAAACCTTTAAAAGATAATAGCTGTTCATTTTTCCATAAGACCAGATTGAACTGATGGACACTGTAAATTTAAAAAATTTGTTTTCTGTGAATCAAATAAAGTAAGATGTCTAATCTAAGAGTCTGAAAAAAATGGAACCGTTTATTCAATTTCAATCTAAGTTATCTTTGAAAATATTTTTTGAAAAAAGTCATTCAGTATATACATATGCTGAATGCCTGAACTGAAGTTTAGTCCAGAAACATTTGGAAAAGCCTTTCTTTTGCCTTTGTCCATTTTCCATATCTTGTGCTATGTCTTAATAAGATTTTATGTTGCACTCTCAACCTAATAATCTTATACAATAGTTAGCATATTGAAACTGTCTGCATCTGCTTGAGAGGTCCATTAGGCACTTAACTAGATCTTTATTTGATTTAGGCCTTAGAGTGTTTGGTCCTCCATCGCTCATGAAGCTGCCTGTTCAAGCCGTGAGCTAGTTTCTACCTTAGAGGAGCCAAAACAAGCACCCTTGGCAGTGACTATAGCTTCTACTGCCATCATTTCAGCTAAAATGCTGTCCTGCCTCATGATTAAATTGCAAATAACATTTTTTAAAACCTATGTTAAAAGAGAACATATAGATGTCTCACGCATTCATCCTCCGTCACTCTGAACCTGAAGTTACTTAGATGTGTTCCCTAACCAAAACATCAAAATCTACATTTTATAAAAGTTGAAATTCATTAAAGCACTGCCGTTCCAGAAGCAGGAAGTAAGCTGGCGCAGGTTCCAGAATAATTTCTTGGGATTATTTAGAACACACTGGAACATTTATCTGTGACTCAAGCACAGAAACTAACTGTGTGACTGGGTTTTTACAACTTGGATTTGAGTGTAGCTGATCCTTGCGCTCATAGCTACGCCACTGAAAGTGTAATTAAAGCTAATAGTTCATAATGTCTCAACAGTATCTGGAGGAACCAGAGAGAATTGTTCCCCACAGTCGAGTTTCACACAGTTAACTGGTGGCATTCAGGATTGTTCCGGCCTGCCTCTCAAGCATCTGGCATTAACTTCTGCTGACAGCAGGCAAACAGATTTGATGGATCAGTATTGAATCTGGAATGGAAATGTTATTTTCCCTAATGTACCCAGATCTCTTTCAGGATATCTGATAAAGCTTTACTTTGGGGATGGGATTTATAAACTATCTCCAACCATCCATTAATCTAATACTCCTTCAGGGAGGAATCTGTCATACTAAGTCTATGTACAAATGTTGATTTAAATAGCATGAGGAAGGAGAAATGTTACATGGCTTTAGTATTTAGAATAATGACATTTTTATTTCAGAACTACAAGGATCTTTAGAGTCTGTCCTAATAAAACTATTTTATTTTCCAAATGAGAAGGAAAAAATATAGAAAGGCAAATTGTTTTCACAAAGTTCAGAATTAGCACCCAATTCCTTTGATTCTCAATCCAGAGAGCAATTCAATACATCTAAACACTTCATTCCATTCAGTTTCTGTAATTTATATACAGGAGATTTTCAAACCTAGTAGTATGTGAAATCCCAGGGCAGGGTAGAGGGTTTAAAAAACACTGAAGAAAAATACTGTTGCACAAGCCCCACCACAGACCAATTAAACCACAATAGAATCTCGGGTAGGGCTTTGACAAAGATATGCATGCATGCATCTATGTGTGTGTATGCGTGGGTTTATGTAAGTATGTATGCATTAAATTCCCAAGATGATTCTAAAATGCAGCCACGGTTGAGAACCAGTGATTTATACTTTGATCAAGCTTGTAAGAAAATAAGCAAATAAATGTTGTGTCCTGTCCTACTCTTCTCTTTGTTTAGCTGGTTCCTCATCATCCAGGCTCTCCAACCAAAACTTCTTTTCTTGAGAAATTTTCCAAAAATATCACCATAGCTCTTCTCATATTATACATATATATATAATATATATAATTTTGATAAAGGAATTTCAAAATATTGCTATATCTACTAAAGTTTTAAGGTCTACTTTGTTCAGGGCTATTTGCATTTTAGGAGAAGAAAAATAATAGAAATAGAATGATTTAATAGGAGGAGTTTAGCTGCATCAAAGATTGTGAAAAACAGTTTGAATGAAAACTTTCCTAGAACCCTAAAATTAAACCATACTTAAAAATGTGTAATTCGCCTTCATGATGGTTTCATCATATCATCATATTTTGTACTGCTCTTCAGCTTTCATTATATAAATTACTTTTCACTTCATATAAGTTTATGAGAATGATAATTCTGAATTCTCAAAGAACAAGAATTGGCACCTATACCAATGATTAAATGCTAATTTGCTAAGCACCACATTTAATTGTTATAATCAGGATCCTCTTTTCCTAGGAAGGTGATGTCATCATTCCTATGTAAAGGATGGAGAAACTGATCAAAGAGGGTAAATTGGCTAAGGTCAGTTATCTATTTGGCAATAGAACTGGGGCTAAGAATAATTTCCAACTGACTCCAGAACAAATGTACTTTAAAACATCATGCTTTACAAAGTCCTTAATGGTCAGGATAAAATAAGATCAATCAAAGAAACCTGCATGGAGCCAGAAAACTAATCAGCTTGACATTCTGACTGTTGATATAATTTGATATATGCCTTCAAAAGGCTTCTATCAAAAGTTTAAATACTTAATTGGCATTAGGCACACAATAGTCAATTAGTACCTTGGAGGAAGAGTGCTATAATTTTATGCTTTTTAAAAAACAAAGCTTCTGCCTACTATTTTTGGAAGAGTAGCTTGTTTTTCATTTTTAACTCTTCATTAAGTTCTTTGTTTGCTGTAATGGGAACTTCCAAGAGAATGTTGTAGTCACATAAAAATGATATTTACATTAAAAATCTACATAAAGGAAATGAAGTATTCACACATAAATATATTTCATTCTTCAAGATTGTATTCGTTCTACAGGATACGTATGCTATAATTTACAAAATGCTGATAAAAGAGATTAAAAAAACTAAATAAAAGAAGAAAAGTACCATGCTAATGTATTGGAAGACAATGTAGTAATTATGCCAATTCTACCCAAATTTATCTTTAGGTTTCATGCAACTTCTACCAAAATGCATAAAGATTTTTTGTAGATATAGATACATTTATTCTAAAATTTATCCCCCAAAGTGCAAAACCTAGAATAGGTAACACAATATTAAAAAAAAGGATAATGTGGGAGGAATCACTCTATCCAATATAAGTCCTAGTATATAGCTACACAAATCAAGACAGTGTGGTATTAGCAGAGGAATAGACACACGAATCAATGGAACAGAATAGGTAACAGAAATAAACCCAGACAAACTGGCGCAACTCATTTTGGACAAAAGCACAAAAGAAATTCAATAGAGGAAGGATAGACTTTTGACAAATAGTGCTGGAGCAATTGGACATCTACAGGCAACCAATCAATCAATCAATTTTGATCTAAGTCTCAAATCTTATACAAAAATTAATTCCAAATGGGTCACAGATTCAAAGTGTAAAAACATAAAACTACAAAAGTTAAAAAAAAAAAGTAGGGGAGAATCTGGCCAGGTGTGGTGGCTCACATTGGGAGGCTGAGGCTGGTGGATCACCCTCCTGAGGTCAGGAGTTCAAGACCAGCCTGGCCAACATGGTGAAACACCATCTCTACTAAAAATACAAAAGTTAGCCGGGCTTGGTGGCAGGCACCTGTAATCCAGCTACTTGGGAGGCCGAGGCAGGAGAATTGCTTGAACCCAGGAGGTGGAGGTTGCAGTGAGCCGAGATCGCACCACTGCACTCCAGCCTGGACAACAAGGGTGAAACTCCATCTCAAGAAAAAAAATAAAAAGAAAAAATAGGAAAAAATCTTTCACATCTAGGGCTAAGCAAAGACGGGAAGACTGAGATTCTGTCTCATGGGAAAAAAAAAAGAGTTCTTACACTTGAGCTTTGACATCAAAAGCATAATCCATTAAAAAAATTGGACCTTCTCAAAATAAAAACCTTTTGCTCTGCAACATTTTGCATTAAAATTCTATTAAAGAATAAGGAGACTGGGCCAAGCGCGGTGGCTCACGCCTGTAATCCCAGCACAATGGGAGGCCAAGGCGGGTGGATCACGAGGTCAGGAGTTAGAGACCAGCCTGGCCAATATGGTGAAACCCCATCTCTACTAAAAATACAAAAATTAGCTGGGCACGCTGGCATGCATCTGTAGTCCCAGCTGCTCAGGAGGCTGAGGCAGGAGAATCACTTGAACCCAGGAGGCGGAGGTTGCAGTGAGCTGAGATCGTGCCACTGCACTCCAGCTTGGAAGACAGAGCAAGACTCTGACTCAAAAAAAAAAAAAAAAAAAAAAAAAGAATAAAGAGACAAGTCCCCACCCACCTACTACATATGCACATAGAAGACATGAAACATAACAAGAGAAGATTCACTTAACAAAATAATAGTATCCAGAATATACAAAGATTTATCAAAACTCTTCAGTAAAAAGAAAAATAATAGAAAATGGGCAAAAGACATAAACAGACATTTTGCCAAAGATAAAGGCAAAGAAGCACACAGAAAGATATTCAACATAATTAGCCATTAAGGAAAGTAAAGAACACAGTAAAATATTACACATCACGAAGCCTAAAATAAAGAATATTGACAACACCAAATGCTGGTGAGGATGTAGAGAAACTGTTTTATTCATATACTGCTGGTGAGAATGTAAAATAGTACGGCTATTTTGGCAAATAATATTTGGAGTATAATTTCGCAGTTTCTCAAAAAAACTAAATGTGTAACTACCATGGGATCTAGCATTTGCACTCTTTAGACTTTATACCAGAGAAATAAACATTTGTTTTACTGCAAAAACCTATACATGAATGTTCTTGGCAACTTTATTTCTAATAGTCAAAAACTAGAAACTACCCAGATGTCCTTCAAATGGTAAATGGTTAAACTGTGGTACATCAATATCATGAGATACTACTTAGCAATAAAAAGAAGTGAACAATTGATACACAAAACAATTTGAATTATCCAGGAAATTATGTTGAAAAAAATTAATTCCTCAAAGATTACATGCTGGCTGGGTGCAATGGCTCACACCTGTAATCCCAGTATTTTTGGAGCCCAAGGCTGGGGTGGGGGGGTGGATCACCTGAAGTCAGGAGTTCGAGACCAGCCTGGCCAACATGGTGAAACTCCGTCTCTACTAAAATTACAAAAATTAGGCATGGTGGCACACGCCTGTAATTCCAGCTATTCAGGAGGCTGAGGCAGGAGAATCACTTGAACCTGGGAAGCATAAGTTGCAGTGACTGAGATTGCACCACTGCACTCCAGCCTGGGCAAAAGAGAGAGACCCTGTCTCCAAAAAATAAAAAAAAGATTACATGCTGTATGATTCCATTCATCTATCATTACTGAAATGACAACATTTTAGAAATCGAGAAGATATTAGTAGTTGTCAGGGGTTAGGGGTGAGGTTGGAGGTTTGGGCAGGGACATAGGTGTGGCTAAAAAAGGCCAATAGCAGAGATTATTGTGGTAATAAAACTGTCCTATATCTTTGAATACATGAATTCCAACATCCTGCTTGTGACATTTTCTATAATTTTCCCAAATTCAAGAAAACCGGGTAAGCGTACTAGGGACCTTTCTGTATTATTTCTTATAATGGCATATAAATCCATAATTATATCAACATAAAAATATAGTTAAAAACTTATTTTTCAGTTCAAAGGCAAAGCAATCAAATGTTATCTTTCTGCCTCAATCATTGGAGGTAATTTTGCTATTTCCTCTTTTTCTCTCTTTTAAATATGTAGCTACACTGAGGTTCCTTTAAGATATTGACAGTTTTTATGAATTAAAATTTTAAGCAACCAATAGAAGATCATTTAATCCTTATACTTTTGAGTGTATATTTGTAAAATGAATTCTCATGGACCTACGTCTATTAGAGATTGTATTGCCATTCTCTATCAAAGAGTCTAACTTCACTTAGAGTCAAAAACAATCAAAATTATAAACTTGGATGAGCTAGACATGTTCTGTTTTAACATGCGTAATATGCAAAAAAACCCTCTATGTATTTGGAAACAATATTTTTTTCTTAAAACAGGTGGGGTATATTTTATCTTTCATAAAATCATTGCCATACAAACTTTCTCCAGTAACTATGCATATTTTGCATTGTATGCTAATTGAGAATTATCAGCCTATTGAAAAGTGACAGAAGTGTTCCCAGAGCACATACTAATTACAGCAAAATTACACCTAGAGGTAAACTTATCTTTTTTACAGATGTCTGATTTTCACCTACTCCATGTCCTGGTATCTGAGATGTGAACCAATACATGATGCGTCACAAATTTGGTTTGCAAATATGCACCTAAGGTGGGAAACCCAGGAAGATTTGATAAACAAACTGTTTCCTGTCTAAGAATGTAGACTTTATGTTGCCATTTAGTACAACGTGAAATGTCTGTGAGGTGCCCTTGGGCAGGAACTCTGTTTTAACAAGCTATCAAGCTTAACTGGGGTAACCTGTAGGAAATCTTTACTAAACAAACAGAAGCCAGTCAGTTCTTGGGAGATGCTTGTACACAATCAGCATGACAAGCCATTGCCATCTTTAAAGGCTAATTCCCAAACTACTGCTAGTTGTACTTTGATTGTTGTGAGTCAATTCAAATTTTATAAAACATCTACTTGTCTTCCTAATCTAAATCCCATTTTCTTACACCTGTTAGGATATTTTTTTTCTTTTATGTAAAAACTAGTCTCTCTTGTATTTAATTTAAAAGCTGTATGCTCTCCAAGTTCACTAGTTTGAAATGGTAGAAAAACATGCAGTAATTTTCAGCTAACTTTCAATAAACTCTGAATGATAGAAGCATGCTGAGTCAAAGGCTATATAGAACATGAGAAGAATATTGATTACCTATTTGCTTATCTGCTAGCTGGCCTCTTCAGCATTGCTTGGGAGGCCTGTCCTTTGGACAGAAACTAGCATGGCAGTGGAGGGTCCAACTTGTGCGTGGGGGTTTGATGAAGTGCTGACCTTTCTTCTCTTTTCTGAACATTATTAAAATGTTCATAATAATGAAGTCTCCACATTATTGGAATTTTCTTGGGACAGTACCAATCGAGGGATGACTCTGCTTGAAAAAAATTGCTGATCAATGTTTCAAATACCACTCCTTGCTGCTCCTGACCATGGTGCCTACTCCATAGAACTGACCATTTGAGATGTACCTGGGTTTCTAATTAACACTTGCAACTGTTCAGGAGGATGGCTGACTTTCTGAGCTTCTCTCTTGGGGTTCCGTGATGTGATTTTCATGTACATCACATTGACTACAATTTAATTCCAAGCATCCCCAAGCATCTTCTGATTTAGTGCTACTTTCACTCGATGTGGTTACAGGCAGAAAAACTAATTTTATATATATTGATTACATAGATCTATACACTATATATTGTTTATCTGGGTAGATACTATGCAGAAAAATCAAATATCCATTACATTCTTAATCCAGTTGTCTATTTTCTTGTAGAAAAATGTATAGCTTTGTAACTTAAAGAGACCAAACCCAAGGATATCTTTAACTGTATTTATTTCTTGTAGGAAACTGAAATGTGACTATGTTAGATCATTTTTTATTTAAATAAAAGGATATTATTATTTATATTGGGGATAATAATTTTAAAGGACATTGACCTAAATACATATTTGAATTACCTTTATGCTATTGTAAGTAGTCACACTCTTAAAATAATATAATTATATATCGTCCAAGATCCTACCCTAGAGTGTTCCTGGAGTCTTAAAAAATAGAAAAAGTGCAATTTGTTTATAACCAGAAAAGGGTTCTGATGGGAAAGTACATTATATGTTCCAGTGGGAATGTTTCTAATAATTCAAATTGCTTGGAGTAGTTTAGAGCCATATTAAGTCTATATTTGTATTAGTCCATTTTCACACTGTTTGATGAAGACACACCCAATGCTGGGCAATTTGTAAAAGAAAGAGGTTTAATTATATTTACAGTTCCATGTGGCTGGAGAGCTCACAATCATGGTGGAAGGTAAGGAGGAGCAAGTCATGTCTTACGTGGAGGGCAGCAGGCAAGGAGAGAGATTGGGCAGGGAATCTCCCCCTTACAACACCATTAGATCTTGTGAGACTTACTCGCTATCACGAGAACAGCACAGGAAAAACCTGTCCCCATGATTCAATTACCTCCCACCAGGTCCCTCCTATAACACGTGGGAATTCAAGATGAAATTTGGGTGGGGACATAGCCAAACCATTTTAATATTTTAAGAATGCAACCCCAAATATTTATAATTAACTTGGAGTCCTTTAGAAACTTGTTTGCGTTTATTATATTAAATGATTATAATTATATTATAAATATTCTTTTAAGTTACAAAATTTTCAAGTTTTTAAGTTGAAATCTGGAATTTCTAACTATGTCAAGGAAAACTTACTGCTTGCAGATAGCTGATTTTTCTGACAGTGATTCAAGAGAAAGGAGCATCTTAAGATGATCTTTTAAGTATCCACATAATTTTTTAGAATTAGAATGTTAAATTTAACATTGAAAATGTGTAGAAAATTAAAGTATTTTATTACTTTAATTTCTATTTTGGGAAGTGTTTACATCTTTTTCTCCCAGTTTTACTGCGTTATAGATGACACTTAAATAAATTTAAGGTATACAATGTGATTATTTCATTAGATGTGTGTGTATATATAAATATTTTTCATCATAATGAAGTTAATTAACATATCCATCAGCTCACATCATTAGCATTTTTCTTTCTTTTTTGTGGTGACAACACTTAAAACTACCCTTTTAGCAAATTCCAATTGCACAATACAATATTGTCAACTGTAGTCACATTGTTGTACATCAGATCTCTAGAACTTACTCATCCTGCATAACTGAAATTTTGTTCCCTTTGACCAACATCTCCCCATTTTTCCTTCCCCCATCCCCTGTAAACCACCATTCGACTCTCTGTTTTGATGAGTTTTACAATTTTGGATTCCACATATAAGTGAGATCATGCAATATTTGTCTTTCTGCATCTGCTTATTTCACTTAGCACAATGGCCTCCAGGTTCACACATGTTGTTGCAAATGGCAGGATTTGAAAATCAATGCCTTGCTTATATTCCCAATCTATTATTCAAATAAGACTTAGGTGGTTATCTTTGTCATAGCAGTATCTTACAAAATCTAATCTGATTTTAATTTTTTGAAGGAAGCATTCATTATTGAAGAATGCAAATGACATCACTTCGACAGTGTCTCAGTTACAGCTATAATATGGGAAAATGGAAAGTGAAATCCTAATTGGATTAGGCCATTTTTCGAGAATAAATTGTATCAGATCTTGGCTGGTCCACATTAGCCAAAGTGAATACTTATACTAACAATTATAAAGTGTTGTCCATAAATAATACTTAGAAACAGGTGTTTCTAAACTATAGAGAGCTACAGTACAATGTTGTTCAAAGATAACGATTTGGCATTTTGTTGACCCTTGACTGGCTCTGACCTTGATTGCATCTTAAACCAAAAGCTTGCTTTATAGAGCTCTTTATAGAAATTTTTGGTAAGCTAGCAGAGCAACTATTTATGAGGCAGATGATTCACACAATAAGTATGTATTGAATCCTTTTGTTTATTAATGGTACTAGGTGAAGCACAAAATATGTAGTAGGAAAGATTCTTTTCCTTCCCTGATGGAGTTTCACTTTAATGTGGATGTCAGTCTTTAAACAAATACTATCTCAAATAAGACATCACATTTTGTAATGATATATATACACATATATATACTAAAACTGTAAAATATATGAGAGAATATAATAGAAACATTGATGTAGACTTGGAATCTGAGGGAGTAAACCAAACTAAAGCCTGATGCATGCATTGACCATGGACAGCCCAAGTTTAGCCAAGAGCATTTCAGGTAGAGGAAATGTCATGCATGAGTTTCCAAAGGCAGGAAAGAGTTACGCCTACTTCAAAAGCCCAAGAGAAGAGAAGGTTAAGTAAATAGAGATGTGAGGGGGATGAGGCTACTCTGCAGAAGCTAGAACATGCCTGGTATTACAGTGTCTATTTCCCAAGTGTAATGCAGGCTATGGGAGGGTTATGAGAAGAGACTAAGTGGGGCTGGATTACAATTCTATACTTGAACCCTGTCCAATTAAATTAGCTGCAACAAGTTTCACCACTCTTTCTGCGTCCTATGAAAAGCAAATCTAAGATACATTAAAAAGGAAGGGAAATACAGCCTACAACTGTCTTTTGAGTTATTAAGAGCTAGGAAAGAGTTGGTGCACATCCATTTTTGAACTAGAGGTGGAGGGTGGGTAGAAATTTTGCTTCTGAGCTGCACTTTTTATGTTATATAGTTTTTCAGAAGAATTTGTATTTGTGTGGTGACATATTATATTATGGCTTCAGGCTAGGTAACTTAGATGTGCATTTTGATTAAAAATTGAGCCTACAAACTGGTATTTTACACTATAATTCTTAAAGTTAGAAAAAAGAATATTTTCCAATAGTCTCTTGTTGCCATGGGGAAAAAAAGCTGCAATTTTATTAATAGACAACAACCTGGAAGCTTATTCTTCTAAACAGATTGAAGACAGATGCCAACATGTCAGTGAAAGTTGAGACAAATCCAGCATCATTCCGTACATCAAATGTTTACACAGAGGTTGTTTAAATGGGATGCTTGTTATACTAAGAGAATGTACAACAGCATCTCAGTCTACAGCAAGAAATAGAAAACTCAAGAATTTTCTACTAAAGTGTTTTATCTTGAATGAGATGATGGTCTTTTGATTGCCTGATAGTCATAGGAGCACTTGTCCAGAAAGTTTAGTTTCTACAAGATATAAGTTTGCTGTAAGACATATTGTTTCAAATTTAGTGTGAAGAGAATCATGTCTCAGTGTTTTATTTTACTTATGTATTTTAAATTTTATTTAAAATCTATTTATTTCTAGAGACGGTTTCACTCTGTTGCCCAGGCTGGAGTGCATTGGTACAATCATAGCTCACTGTAGTCTTGAACTCCTTGGCTCAAGTGATCCTGTCACTTCACCCTCCCAAGTAGCCTGGACTATAGGCATGTGTCACCATGCGTGGCAGATTTTTAAACTTTTTTTTAGAGACATGGTCTTTCTATGTTTCCCAGGCTGGTCTTGCACTCCTGGCCTCAAGTGATCCCCCTGTCTCAGCCTTCCAAGGTGCTGGGATTACAGGCATGAGCCACTGGGCTCAGACTATGTCTATCTTTAAAAATTATCCTTTTTATTGGCATCATTTCAATACATTAATGATATCAAAAGAACCATAGGTTGTATATATTTGAGACACATATTTATTTAAATAATTCATTTTCTCTACAAAATACCATTATCTCTTATCAAATTTCACCTTGGTCTTTATATTTTAAAATTATTTGAGAAGGCGTGAGCATTTTTCAACTTACAAATTAGCCATCAGCATTAAAAATTAATCTTAACAGAGAAAAATTTATCTCAACAAATTAATCGCTGCCATTCTTCCATGTCCAGTTTCTGTTCATGAGCTTCTGTAATTTATAACTTATAAAAATATTTAGTCTCTCTTTTGTGTGGCTTAATGAAATAGTTTTTGGTTTTGAATTCAAACTGACATTCTCCTTAACTGTATGTGTGGTTGTCAATATGTTATTAAATCATTCTGAGGTATAAGTTTTTTTTACCATTAAGATGGTAATAATAACCTACCTCAAAAAGTAGGTGAGGGAACCAAACAGCCTAGGGACAACCTGGCCCATTAGAGGCACAATAAATTATAGCTATTATCATTAATAATAATTGGGACATCTGCATCTTAAACTCCCTGTAATTTTATGGACACTATGGTTGTTTAAAAATCACTGTTCTAGAGCTATCATGTGACTTCAATGACAGTTTAAAAAATCACTTAACTTTACTGAGAATACAAAGAAAGTGGATCTCACATTGATTGTGAGAGTGTAAAATGGTACAGCAACTCTGGAAAACCATTCAGCAGTTTCTTCAAAAATTAACATATATAGTCTACAAATAGACTCCTAAGTACCTATTCTAGAAAAATGAAAATTTATGTTCACAAAACCTCTGCACTATTTAAAAATAATTCCTTTAAGTATTTAACTATGTGATCACAGTGTTTACAGCTTCAGTTTTCTTTGTATTGGTGATAACTTTTGTAGCTTGGGAAATACCTTGATTTTTTTAATGCTATAAACATTATTTTGCAGTTGCCTATAGATACCAGAATATTATAATACAAACTGAGAAAAATTCTTTATTAATCATACTCTGAAGTGAAAAAATATACTGTTCTAATAAATTATTTATCACTGCAGAGTTTATTACTTTGTGTTCCTTTTTTTGTTCCCTGATATGAAAATTTCCATAGAATAGTAATCATTTTAAAGAAAAACTTACTAGTGGACTTTAAATATAAAGATGTTGCCTATAAAATGTGGCCTCAATGTATGCAATGAATGATTTTTCAATTGTAATTCAAAATGATGACTGGCATCTCATCCTGTAAAATATCTCCTAAAGAATCTTTACAAAATATTTTTTATAGCTCCTGCTTACGTGAACATTTGACCCCCGAAATGTGTTAAGCTAAATTGGATGTACCTGCTCCATTTTTCATTTTTATAAATTACTATTTGGACTAATTTTAGTAACTCTTAGAAACCTTTGCTTTTTATTTTACTTTTTTTTTTATTTTATTTTCGGGATGGAGTTTTGCTTTTGTTGCCCAGGCTGGAGTGTAATGGCGTGAACTCGGCTCACTGCAACCTCTGCCTCCCAGGTTCAAGCTATTCTCTTGTCTCAGCCTCCTGAGTAGCTGGGATTAGAGACATGTGCCACCATGTCCGGCTAATTTTGTATTTTTAGTAGACACAGGGTTTCTCCATTTTGGTCAGGCTGGTCTCAAACTCCCGACCTCAGGTGATCTGCCCGCCTCGGCCTCCCAAAGTGCTGGGATTATGGGCGTTAGCCACTGCGCCTGGCCTACATTTTTAATAATTAAAATATTAAAAATCTGAATTTAATATAAGTACACTGAAAAATTTACATTGTTTTGAATATTATTTTTAAAGAATGCTTGAAAACTTAATGAAATATTTGAATTAAACAGCATAGGGGGGTGGGAGGGAACTTGTAATTAAGAGTTTGGACTTTGAAGGAAACCCATTGAGGCTGAGCCTTGATTCAGCCAGTTGTCACTGTGTGGCTCATTCACTTGACTTCAGTTCTCAGAGGCTCAGAAATGGAAGATGTTTTATATTGTATTGTTGCTCTCATTGTTCTTGGTTGTAATTGAAGCTCAGGAACAGAGCCGAATTAACCACACTCTCCAGTTAGCAACACTGTATCACCGGATGGTGCAAGACCTTGTTACTGTTTCTTGGTATAGTTATTCCATTGTATTTACCACTCCCATTTTCCTCTCTACCTCATTGTTTCGCTCAATATTTATCCTTTTGCAAATGCATATTCTTATAAAATATTTTTATAGAATATTTATTAGATATTTTATTAAACTTTATAAAATTTTAAGTGCATGTAGATAGTATTTTGCTATGATTCTCATCATGTTTTTAAATGTGTTCACTCAGCCTCTTGTATACGTAGCTACATTACATCGAGTCTTGGCTTCTAACTGCTGCAAAGGGAGTCTTATGTCTTTTGCCTTTCCACTCCTCCACTGACAGTCACCCAAATTGCTGTTACCATGCTAACACTGCAAATAACATACTACATATTCTTTTATGAACCTATGTAGAAATTTACCACTAGCAGAATATGAGGTGATACGATTGGCATTATTTACTTTCCTAATTTTTTTTCCAGTTTAATTCATGCTCTTTCAAATACCAGCTCTTGATATTTTCTCCACAAAATTTTCCCTGATCTACTACATATCCCTTTTACCTTTCTTTCTCTAAAAGCAATTTTTTTGTGTATGGCAAATCAGATATAGTCTCTTGCTATGATTTAAATGTTTGAACTATGACTATACATTTTCTCACTAAAAGCTGGGTGACTTTGAGAAAATTGCCTCTCTGTTTCTCTGTTTCTTAGTTTTCTTAGAGAAATAGGAGTGCTTATCTCAGGACCATCATAAGAATTTTAAACAATTTAATGTGCATGAAGCTCTTGGCTGATTTCATAGCAATAAAATTTTATTAATGTTGTAGTGTTGGTGGTCTTGATGTTGAATGATATTGCTAAGGATTATGATGATGATGCTGATGTTGATAATGATGACAAATAGGCAATTATATATGTCTACTCTACGTCCATTTATCTATATTTATATCCATATCTATCGTAGTGCGGTTTCCTGAGAAGCAAACTGAGACGAAGACTGAAGTGCAAGTAATTATTTTAGAATGTCATCTTTGGAAATAATATTAGAGGAGTGAAAAGAATGACAGCAAGGACAGACAGTTTATTTTTAAGAAAGTTACTATTGTGTTTAAATGGAACCGAATCTTGTCAGAGAAATCTGGGATCCAGTATAAAACAGGTACCTTAGAGTTAACTGAGGGGTGAGGAGATAAGTATTGATATCTCAGCTCCCATCAATCTGTGGCTAAAGGCTGTTTCTGGGGAGATAGAGGTGCAGCTTGCCCCACAGGCAATAAAGTAGCCAGGTGGCCAGAGAAAGCGTTCAGACAAAGAATGGAAGTCTTGATAGGTGATAACTGGCAGATATGCAGTGAACTGATCAAGGTGAGGGGGATTCTGGTGGGTTCCTGACAGCATCTGCTCCATATATCCTATATTATTCTGACTATGGTGGGAATTTAACAGCTACTTGTTGAATTAACAAATATGTTATTTAGGCTTGCACACTGAGTGATAGCCCTCTTTTACCATAAAATTCATAGTGCTTCAGTTTTAATATAATTTGACATCTTTTTTTTTTAGATGATGCAATTTTTTTTCAAATACTCCATCCATTCCATTTATATCTGTTGAATTAGTCAATCAACAAATAATTTCTCATTACTTGATAGTACAGAGAATAAAGTGGAGAAATATGCTTTCCAAACAAAAAGCATTTAAAACGTTCAAGAGGAAATAGGTAAATCAATAGGAGTTGACAGGTCTCACAAACATTAATGTGTTTAGGACCCAAATGATATAATACTCCATAGTGAAAATTAATGAATTTTCAACCCATCTGTTAGATTTCATGTGTTAAGGACATAGTAAGGTTATAGAATTCCCAGAGCTAGGGCTAGAACCTCTTACTGAAAAAGCCAGTCTGCAAAAGTCACGTTTTATTCTTTTGAAGAACTAAATGATAAATAACATAAAATTCAATACCAATGACTCTCATTTGAAAAATAAATATTTTATAATTAATGTACTTACTTAAAAGGATAAATATATAATTTTATTAAAAAACAAAACAATAATTCAAACTGAATGTTAGACTATTTGATTCAGTGAGTAAAGAAAACCTTATATGAAACATAGGCCAGAATCTTGTATGTAAGAAAATGATGTACAGAAACTGTCATTTTCTCATATTTATCAACTGTCTATCTCTTTGTGATTTTTAAAAAGTGAGGCAGGTAGAATGAAGAAAATTGTAATGTGGTTGAATCATGATTCTAGGAATGAGGAGGAGAGAGGAGAGGGTACAATTAATGTAAAAAAAAAATAGCATCTCTCCCTTCCCTTTCATTTTCTTTTATTTATAGTGACCAGCTTAAAGTGTGACAAACTGGAGGAAACTTGAGATTAATTTACACAGAATATAACGGTGTCATTCAAATCTCCATTATTTCTCCTAAAACAATTACATGTTGAAACAAAACCTGATCATCTAGCGAAAACAGTTGAAAGTCAGGTACAGTCCAAAAACTTTAAAAATCAAACTAATGTAAAAAGGTGAGAAAACAGAACTCCCTAAATTTCTATGTGGAAAAATGTTAATTCCATAAATGTCTCTTCTCATATTTGTTAAATGTTCAGTTTGGCATTGCGCATGAGAAAGCGAGGAGATGTTTGATAAATTACTATAGAAAACATAATGGATCATACTGTGATTTAACTGGAATTTATTGTGCTTTCAGTGATAATCCAATATTCATATTTTCATTTGTAGGCATGATTAGGACATACGTTTTTTAAGCCTTTCATTTTCTATGAAAGAAAAAGGCAAGACACAGAATTCAAAGAAGGCTTATTATTCCTGGAATGCTTGGCCTGATAAGATGAATAGAATGTGTCTTTTGATTTTTCAACAGTGTCATTCTAAAATTCTCATGTAGGTCATTACTTATTCTAGAGTTGGATCAATCAAAGGGAGGTGAATCAGCAAGGCACAAAAGAGGAAGCCACCTTGAAATGGATTAAGTGAAATAACTGTGTGAACATATGGCCTAGAAATTAAATTGATTCAGCTAAACAAGTTATATTAAATAAATTAGGCATCTGGTCAGGTGATCACATTTTAAAGCAATTATGTAATTTGAGACTTTCAGAAAGAGAGAGGGGCCTATAAGCCTATGGTTTACAGAGACAGAGAGAGAATACAAGATGAAATTCAACTTGTTAGTGACCTTTTAAGTCTGCCCTTTTACCAAACATGTATGTAAGGATAAGCTGCATAAGGAAAGATGCTAGGTTTTCTAAATGAAATTTGTCAAATGTACAAGTTGTCAGTAATTTATTCATTTATTTACTCACTTAAAAATTTTATTGAGCACTAACTCCCTTTAAGTTCATTATAAAATTTCCTACTTTTCAAATTTCCTTTTCTATAGTGGTGGATCAAAATATTGTGTGAAATTATGCTGCATTTAGAGCAGATAAATAGGTGCTCTTTTAATCAATAAACTTTTACCAGCAAAATACTCTTTGACATAAAGATATATTTTCTTGGACACTGTCTTGTTTGAGCTCAATGTAAAGCATACATTTAGATATTGCCCCTCTTCTCTTTACTCATTGTTTCCAAACATATAGCAATATAAAAATTGCAAGGCAGTAACTGTTGGGGGACTTGCAATACACAGGAAATGCATAGCCTACGAATGATTACTTTGATTTATTTTTTCCAAATTAATGATATAGTAAGATTTTTAAATAGTTGGTGTAAAAACAAGTAACTTAAAAATATTTTTGGGTCAGGCACATTGGCTCATGCTTGTAATCCCAGCACTTTGGGAGGCCGAGGTGGGTGGATCACTTGAGGCCAGGACTTCGAGAACAGTCTGGTCAACATGGTGAAACCCCATTTCCTAAAAATTAGCCAGGCACAGTGGTCCATGCCTGTAATCCCAGCTACTCGGGAGTCTGAGGCAGGAGAATCGCTTGAACCTGGGAGGCAGAGGTGGCAGTGAGCTGAAATCACACCACTGCACTCCAGCCTGGGCAACAGAGTGAGACTCTGTATCAAAAACATAAATAAAAAATAAAAACTAAAATAAAAATATTTTTGGTTAAATTATGCAAGAATCTCATGAAAATAGATAATCGTTTGTATTCTGAATTATATGTATCACTATTATTGTGCACTTTTGTTATTTTAAGGTTGTTAAACATAGAGATTACAACTATGTTAAACACAGAGATTATAAGAACTTTAATCTCTCAATCAAAAGCTCTTCTAATGAATGAGATGTCCTATTAGATTTAATGTATGTAGCCTGGACATGCTGCCTTTATCATGAAAAAATTATGTAGTCATAAAACTTTTTTCAAAGTTTATTCATTATAAAACACCTGGGTAATTCTTGGTAAAAATGTATTCCCGTGGTTACAATGGAAATGAGGCAAACAGTATGAAGTTTTTATAATTGTAATAGGCAGTACAATTGGTTTGGTTTATAGAAAATTAATTCATAGATAAGAAATGAAAGGACTTTAACCTTACTAGGCAATGACAAGTGTAAGCATTTTGTAAAGAGCTTCATATTTTACAGGATGTCCTCTCATATATATTCTCATTGAGCCTTACAACCAGATGATGAAACTATGATATTCAGCACATAGACGGAAAGCTCGAAGCTAAGAAATCTTTTATTTTCTCAAGTATGAACAAATGTATAGAACAGGTAGGCAGAATAGAAATAATGATGCCTTGTTAATACTTTCTGGCATGCTACAAAAATCCACACATTAATCATAAAAAATTGGGGAGGGCTGTGATTAAGAAACTATTGTCTTTGTGGGTAACATAGAAAAATGAGTATGAATAAAATTTGTGAATCAGTAGCAAATTTAAGACTTTATCTCAATATATAATGAAGGTTTTGTTGTATTATTTCTCTGGAACATATTCACAACTTCAGTAGAATTGCTTGGGAAGATTGGGTGATATCAAGAGTACAAACTGAAAGAGAGGAGAGATGTAGTGAGAGGGGAGGCTACAGAGATCTAAACTAACACCACATCATATAGGGTAATTGGAGGTACAGAGTTTGGATTTTACTGAGGGTGTTGAAAAAAAATGAAAATATTTAGCTAAGAGTTCTAGCATGATCAGATTTTTAACTTGGCTGGCCACAGTCTGAAAAATGCATTGGAAAGGGCGTGAGGGAAACTAGAAAAAGACCGTCTGAGAGGCTGTCATTGTATATTCTAGAGAGAAGTGATAGAATCTAGAATAGAGGCAACAGCAATGGGTGAAAAAAAGTGAATTAGTTTCTGAGATATTCATGATAATTTAGTGGTTGAATGAATATATTAGTTGGATGGAACCATATGAAATTGCTAATACTGAAATGTTAAATGATAACTTGTATTGTTGGAACCATATGAAATTGCTAATACTGAAATGAAAAATGATAATTTGTATTGTTTAGAAATTAAGCATGGAAGAGATGCACAAGATTCTCAGGTTTCTGGTTTGAGTGAGTGGTTATTAGAATCATTCATTATGATCACAAATGCAGGGGATGGAAGAAGTAATTATCTGTTTTCTGGACCTACATAATTCTAAGTGTTTTTGAGAAATTAAGATGCAATATTCACTCAGAGTAATTCGATGAGTAGATAGGGCAGTGATAAGAGTAACTACATCAGGAAAATCATGAGTTCAGTGACAGGTGGGTGAACATGTATAAATTAAGAAGAAAAAAAGAGTGAGAAAAAAATGATCATTTAGAAGAAGAGAGAAAGGATGACTGAAAGAGCCTGAGAAGAAGTAATCAAGGAGGTAGAAAATTTTTTTTACGGAAGTTGGTGCCAAGGAAAGGGGGTCACAAAAAGGAGTGGTTCTTTTATTCTATATGTTGCTGGAGATCGTACCAAGACAAGAAAAAGAAAAGGCAGTTTTTTTTCTCTCAAGATGGCAGATTAGAGGCTTTAGCATGTCTCAGCCACTTGGGAATAGCAAGATATTACATAAAGATCAACACTATGGGCTTTAATTCAAGAAGAAAAGTGGGAATCCACTGGAATCATGAAGGACACTCCAGATCCCAGAGGAGAATGCTTGCAAACAGCATCTATGGTGGCATCCTGCTAATAAAAGTGAGTGAAGCCCCAGTAAATGAGAGAAGCAGAGCGCCTTGCTCTGTGATTTACCTTTCCCATGGGGATCTCAGCAACCCAAGCTGAGACAGAAAGAGAGCACTTTGTTTCTTCCAGTCCCTGGAGCTAACTTGGGGAAAGGCTTGGAGATGTTGGGAGGGAAAGACACTGGGAAATCTGCAGATATTCTCCCAGACCCAGGACTCAGAGCAGGACGCCATTATTAATCTGGGCACCTAGAAAGCCAGCAGTGTGGCCATGCAGGCATTTTAGTCTCAGGCCAGAGATTGGAGCACTTGCTCTGGAGTGAGGTGGGGGCCTCCACAGCCAGAACTGTGGAAAGTGCCTAAGCAGTAGGTGCTGGAATTGTGCTCTCCCCCACTGCAAGCCTTGGGTGAAAGGAGAGCTGCTACAGCTGCAGTTTCTTCTAGGTGGCAAGACTTAACAGATAGGGCCAGTTTGGCGACCTGCAACTGATTCTGTGTGTGCCATTGCTGGGTGCCCCAGCCTGCTCCCCTAATATATAGTGCTGTGGGGCCCTGTCCACCCTATCCCCAGGCAGATTTCTAGGCATTTGGAGTACCTGTTCTCCTGCTATGCTGGTAGGAATACACAAAGCATGGCTATGCTAGAAACAGTTTGGTAATTTCTTATAAAAATAAACATACAGTTAGTATATGACCCAGCTCTCCCACTCCTAGGAATTTACCTACAAAATATAAAACCTTATGCTTACATCAACATCTATATCCCAAAGTTTATACAGGATTTATTGTTAATTATCAAAAACTAGAACCACCCCAAATATCCTGAAATCAGTGAATGGTTAACTGAGGTATACCCATACAGTGCAATACTACATAGCAATAAAAGGACTGAGACACAGAACAACATTGTGATGAAGTGCACAACAAATGCGCTATGTTATTTGAAAGAAGCTAGGCCAAAAAGGCTCCTTACTCTATGACTCCACTTTTATGACATGTTGGAAAAGGCAACATTATAAGGTCAGCAAATATATCAGTGGTGGTCAGAGGATTGACTAGGGGAGAGGTTGGTTACCATGAACACAAGAAAATTTTAAGGGATGATGGAATTACTATGTATCTTGATTTTATTAGTTCTACAGTTGTACACATATGTCAAAACTGTTATAACTGTATACTAAGAGGATTAATTTTCATGTATGTAAATTATCCCTTAATAAAAAATAAGAAAAATTGGTTAAATAATCTAAAACACTTCCAAGACATAGTGCAAGAAAAGAACTGTCTACTGGATTTAGGAGCAAGAGTGCCATTGTTTAGAAAACCTTTAAAGCACTTGGAAGGTACAAAAAGCTATAATGTCAGTGTACTGTTGTTCAAGAAGCCAAGCAATTACATCCAACAAAGGAGGAACGGCCAGTATATTTGGCAATTTCCTCAGGATACTTGAATAAAAACAGGAAGAGAAAGGAGAAGCTATGTTGAATGTGAATATAAAATTGGGTGAGAATAGTTAAAAAAAAAAAAAAAACAAAAAAGAAAGACACTTGGATATGGGAAAAAGACAACAGAGAAGGAGGTTTAAGATACCAGAAAAAAGAGGGAAAGTTAACATTGTGGGCGCCTTGAGGAGGCAGGGGCATGGCTTGAAACATAGGAGAAGCAGTGAGCAGGACAAGAAAGGACAGCACTTCCATCTTAGTTGGAAATGGAGTTGGAAATGCATGTGAATGTGTAACGTTTCGAACTAGGGTGGCGGAGAGCTGAGGGAGTTTCTAACCTATGCCTGCTACATTGCTCTGTGAGGGAAAAAGGAAACTGAAAGAAATTGTGTGTTTTCCTAAGAGCATTGAGCAACCCAAATGTAGCTGCAAAGATGAAGGGTTGAACTCATCCCAGGTCCCAATTTTTTCGAGGATGGTGAACTGGAAAAATAAATGAGGCACTGGAATAGAGAATATTTCCAAAACACATGTATTTTAGATTAAGCTATTTAAGGAAGCCACTAAAGGCATGGAGAAAAAGAGGCAACAAAGAACTGCTGGTCTTAACGAATTTGAACCATTGTGGAAAGTGTAACAAAGCAAAAAGCAAAACAAAACCAAAACAAAGACATGTTGATGTGTAAGCTATCATCACAGAATGAGATTTGGCAGCCTGTAGATTTCAGTAATGGAATGAGTAAGAATAAAATTCATGGTGTGACCCTGGGCTGGGAAACTAATATAGAAAAGTGGTTCTATTGCAGGATATAAAAAGATACTGAGTTTATTTTCCATAGTCATATTATAAACACTGAGAATGCCGGGGTGATTTAAAAATATAAAAGAAACTTTGAAACAAGTACCCAAAATGTTAACTGAATGAGCAAGAATGCCTGTGAAATTGACAGGTTAAGAAAGAGTGTGCCGAGAAGTAGACTACAGGTTTCATACAGTAGCTGTGAAAGGAGCGGGAGCTTATGTGAGGATGCAGAAATGAAGGTCTTGAAGTGGCTCTGGTGAGTGAGGAGGGAGGATGCTGAAGCCATTACCCTCTCCTTAGCTATGTGGGCCATGCAAAAAGGCACATTTCTTTTGAGACAGAAAATATGCTCTAGGCCGGGTGCGGTGGCTCACACCTGTAATCCCAGCACTTTGGGAGGCCAAGGTGGGAGGATCATGGGGTCAGGAGATTGAGACCATCCTGGCTAACATGGTGAAACCCTGTCTCTACTAAAAATACAAAAAAAAAAAAAAAATAGCCAGTTGTGGTGGCATGTGCCTGTAGTCCCAGCTACTCAGGAGGCTGAGGCAGGACAATCATTTGAACCCAGGAGGTGGAGGTTGCAGTGAGCCGAGATAGCACCACTGCACTCCCGCCTGGGCGACAGAGTGAGACTCTATCTCAAAAGAAAAAAAAGAAACAAAGAAAGAAAATATGCTCTAAGGAGTCAGGATTCAGGATTCAGTTAAGGTAAGGAGCATATACTCTCTAGATAGAGTTCATTTCTTGTGAAAAAATTATTTCCAGTACACAATAGAAAGAATACTTAGTTTGCACATGTGTGTGTTGGGGGGTAGAGGTTAGCACTTATACTTTGCAGAGGGGAGGAATAGTGGAAAGCTGAGTTAAGACAAGGATGGAGATGAAACTCTGAAGAAGACTGATCACCAGTGGGACTTACTGGGCAGTAACCAAGAATGATAGGTGTAGGAGGCATGTTCTTTATGTTATTTCATAATGACACTGCTAATGTGAAAGTAAAAGAAGTGACTGCCCTGGGGTTTTACAGAAAAGTAAATTGGTCTAGAGTAGACTGTACAGTCTTGAACAAGGGAAATATATGATGTATCTGCTGCTCCTTCCCACTGCTGAGCCTGGGGCAAGCATGGCTGATGATGGGACTCTCTCTGCTGGTACCTCACCATAGTTTCCATAATTTTTCCTACTGAATTTTCTTTTATTTTTCTTTTGAGACGGAGTCTCACTCTGTCGCCCAAGCTGGAGTACAGTGGCGTGATCTTGGCTCACTGCAACCTGCCCCTCCTAGGTTCAAGCGATTATCCTGCCTCAGACTCCCATGTAGCTGCGACTACAGGCACGTGCCGCCACGCCCAGCTAATTTTTGTGTTTTTATTAGAGATGGGGTTTCACCCATGTTGGCTGGTCTGGTCTCGAACTCCTGACCTCAGGCGATCCTGCCTTGGCTACCCAAAGTGCTAGGATTATAGGCATAAGCCACAGTGCCCGGCCTCCCATTGAATTTTCTTCTGGGAGACCTATACCCCAAATTCCAGAAAGAAGAGATCAGCATTTCTCCTTTACCTTAAATATTCTTCCTCTCATACAAAAGGTTTCTATTCTCTATTTTTACCCACTTCTGTCTGAAATATAGGATCTGTCACAGATTTGAAGGAGGCCCTTAAAGTTCCTCTGAAATTTAAAGGGGGAAGATTTTTTTTAGAAGAAACTATAGATGGTTGTCTCCCAAAATTAATATTCTTGCTTAGTTTTACAGAGAAAAAAATAAATTCACATTATTTCTTACTCTCTATAAGAGTGTTCAGGATAAAGCAAGCAAAGTCCTTTGCTTTGGTGAAATCATATCCAGAACATAGTTTTCTATTTAATTACATTCCACAAAGAGCATTTATAAAATTGAGCCCATCCATGTTATTGTAGTGCTTAACAGTTTAGCTGATGGAGTCAGACTACTAATTTTTACCTCATACTGGCTATGTAACTTGGATTAAGTTACTGAACATTCTTTGTTTATTTCCACATCTGTTACCTAAAATAAAGTGTGAGGGAAGGGTGGCAATAGCACCCACCTCATAGGATCAGTGTGATCATTAAGTGAGAAAATATGTGTGTAGTTCATTCCCTGGCTCAGTAATAGTGATAAGATCTCAGTGGGGAGGAGGAGGGAAACCAGTTTCACTTAAGGGACAAAGAGGCTTATGATTCACCTAGAAAAGAGATGATTTAGGAGAAGGACTGTTTTAGCATTTATATGGAATAAAAAGCTGAATCAAGTTACATAGAGCTGTATGTTGGCTCTCCTTAAGTAAAAATACCAAGTAATTAGAGCCAATAAAATTGGATGCCTTGCCTCTGAATTGATGAGAGTTATCTGATGAACCATGAAGACAAGGGGCTGAACGAACCATCATCATAAATATTGTGGCCTGAGTTTCTACATTACATAAGAGGTTCAGCTAGAAGATATCTAAAGTTTCATTACTCTAATTTTGTATTTATTTTGCCATAAGACTTATCATTTGGCAAGATTGTTTAACACTAATGAGTCTGCTTAGAAATGAAAAAGAAAAGATGGAATTAATAAATAATTGGTTATTTGGTTAGGACAGAATTTAGGAGTCAAAATTTAAAGTTTGTATTAAATGGTAAGTATAGTTTTTCAAATTAAATACAGTAATTGAAATCATACTATAGAGAGTTGAGAAGAAGGAGTGGAAGGGCACTACATTTTAAGCCTCAAATATATGTCGTATATTTGATGTAACTTTGAATCATTGTGATATCTTACATTATTGGCACTTTGGGGGGCTGAGGCGGGTGGATCACCTGAGGTCAGGAGTTCGAGACCAGCCTGGCCAACATGGCAAAACCCCGTCTCTACTAAAAATACAAAAAAAAATTAGCCAGGCATGGTGTTGGGGGCCTGAATCCCACCTACTTGGAAGGCTGAGATAGGAGAATCGCTTGAACCCCGGAGGCGGAGGTTGCAGTGAGCTGAGATTGCACCACTGCACTCCAGCCTGGGCAACAGAGTGAGACTCCGTCTCAAAAAAAAAAAAAAAATTACATTATTGGCATTTCAAATGGTAAAATTGAGTCTCAGAAAAAGACCCAGATCTGTGCCAAAATGTATGCTTTTTACTAGGATTGAACACTCGTGCATGAACACACACACCCCATTTGTTTTTTTATATATAATAATGCAACAGTAGTTTCCAAAGACTGACTGCATAAATTATTATATTTACCCTATGTTAATTAATAGCATATCATTTATAATATATGTACATAGAAATGAAACATGAAGTAGAATCTACTCAGCCTTTTAAAGTACCCTCCTGTTAAAGGTTAGCATGATAAACTATGGTAAGAGTTTATAAAAAGGAAAAACTACCATGCTATAGAACTCTGTAAATACTGACTTTCTAAATGGCATTGAATTCTTTTACTTTTGCTGATTTTTCAAATAATTACTTAATTTTTTTAAGAAAAAAGTTTGTCTTTCTTTCATCTCTATGAATATGAGAAATATTGATAACTGAATCCAATTTATTGGGAAACTATAACTGAAGATATCCACATCTTGGAAAGGAGATTGAAAGAAATATTTTCAAAATAAAACAATTTTCTTTAACTCTAACCACACTGATACTTTTCATATGAAGAAAATACATAAATGCCTAAATTCAATCTTATTTTCTATCACCTCTTTTACTGTCTCTCTGTCAAAACAAATATTTTTTAAAAACTCAAATGGATTTGTAGAATGAGAAAAAAACTTGAGATACAGATTTAATAAAGAAATCTATTAAAATAGGTTGTGATTGACAGCTAAGGTTAGGAGAACAATTTATATATAATATTTTATTGTCAACTAGGAGCTGAAACAATAGTAGCTAATTCATCCTTGAAAATCTATTTCCTAAAACATATTAAAACAGGATACACATATAAAACATACATTTAGTATTTCTACAGTTATCTAATCCTAGATGATGAATGAGATTTAGATGCAAAGTATGAAAAGACTAAAGCCATTTCTATATTTACAAAGTAATGTGTCCCAGAAAACCCAAATGACATTGCCTTTGAAGACTTGGTAATTAAGCATTTAGAAACTCAAACAATAATTTTAGTCAATTGTGGCCTAAATACTGGATTTGTCTTTATTCACTGTGATACGTAAATAAGATATCTAACTATCTATCTACAGATAGAGATATAAGGTGTACATACTAATATAAAAGTACATACTAATATAAGGTATACCTACACACATGCACACACATATATACACTATGTACATAAACTTAGTATGTATGTACATGTTTGTATGCATGTACATATGGTGTGTACTTATGTATGTATATATGGATGTGCCTGTGTGTATATACACAATTATATATAGATGTATAATTGGACAGCCAATTTGTGATGTAATAGAAATCTTGAAAAAGAAACTAAAAGTATTGTGCACTTTTTAGTTCTTGGCTTGAGGATTTAATTTGATGTCGGTTTTAGCTTGGCAAGAGCTTTATAATTGTTAATGGAAAGTCTGCCAATTCATTGAAGAATGAACAATAATTTTATCATGCTAGTTCCAACCTAGACATAATTTTTAAAATCATTTTATACAGGTACGAGTCTGCAAAGCTCAAACTGAATTTCTGTCAAATGTATTTATAAAGCTTAATTTTTTCGAGCAACCTTCAAATAAATTGTTTTAATGAGAATTGCCTACTCATCCTCATTTTTAATGCAATGTAATATTATATCTTGTTTATTAATTTGTCATTTCAATATGATCACATGCAGATTGAATTTTCCCCTAACGTGTGAAAACAAACTAAATGGTGATAACATATCAATAAAAAATTCTCACTTACTTTTAATGGATTAATTTATTTTAAATGCTATCCAAGTTCTGTTTCTGAGGTACAGCAGAGGTAATTTTCTGTATTAACCTGTGACTTCTCAATTTTTTAAATCCCTAACCTTCCTCCACCATTCAAGATACAAGACTTTTCTTCATTCATTGCCCTCAGGATATGAATAATAAGAGGAATGAGGCCAAATTTTGAGGGTTTTTTTGAGCCCTTAAGTAGATTCTTGTTAATGTATTACAAAGGTAATATTCTTAAAGCCAAGGTTTTCAGTTGTATGAGGCAGGCACTTAGAGAGAAGTTTTATTTTGTTTTATTCATTCCAAAAATTTATCTTTACATAGAAAGAGCAAAAGTTGGCCGGGAGCAGTGGCTCATGCCTGTAATCCCAGCACTTTGGGAGGCCAAGGTGAGTGGATCACGAGGTCAGGAGATCGAGACCATCCTGGCTAACACGGTGAAACCCCGTCTCTACTAAAAATACAACAAATTAGCCAGGCATGGTGGTGGGTTCCTGTAGTCCCTGCTACTCAAGAGGCTGAGGCAGGAGAATGGCATGAACCCGGGAGGCGGGGCTTGCAGTGAGCCGAGATCGCGCCACTACTGCACTCCAGCCTGGGCAACACAGTGAGACTCCCTCTCAAAAAAAAAAAAAAAAAAAGTAAAAGTTTTGAGAACTAAAAGTAAACCATTTATACCAGGAGTCAGCAAATTTTTTTAGTAAAAGACCACATATTAAATATTTTAGGTTTTGCAGGCTATCCTTTGCTGCAACTTCTCAACTCTCATTGGAGCTTGAAAACAGCTATAGACCATATGTAAATGAATGAGTGTGGCTGTGCTCCAATAAAACTTTAATTATGGACACTGAATTTTGAAATTTATGTATTTGTTTCATGCCATGAAATACTTCTATTTTTATTTTATTTTTCTGATCATTAAAAATGTAAGAACCATTCTTTTGATATATTTTATTTAATTTAATTTAAGTTCCAGGATACATGTGCAGGACATGCAGGTTTGTTACACAGGTAGACATGTGCCATTGTGGTTTGCTTCACCTATCAACCCATCACCTAGCTATTAAGCCCCATATGCATTAGCTATTTATCTTGAAGCTCTGCCTCCCCCTGCCCTCCCACAAAAGGCGCCAGTGTGTGTTGTTTCCCTCCTTGTGTCCATGTGTCTTGCTGTTCACCTCCCACTTATGAGTGACAACATGCAGTGTTTGGTTTTCTGTTCCTCTGTTAGTTTGCTGAGGATGCTGGCTTCCAGCTCCATCCATGTCCCTGCAAAGGACATGATCTCATTCCTTTTTATGGCTGCATAGTATTCCACAGTGTATATGTACTATATTTTCTTTATCCATTCTTTCATTGATGGGCATTTGGGTCGATTCCATGTCTTTGCTATTGTGAATAGTGCTTTGATAAACATACACTTGCATGTATCTTTATAATAGAATGATTTATATTCCTCTGGGTATATACCCAGTAATGGAACTGCTGGGTCAAATGGTATTTCTGGTTCTGGTTCTAGATCCTTGAGGAATCACCACACTGTCTTCCACAATGGTTGAACTAATTTACATTCACACCAACAGTGTAAAAGCAGAACCATTCTTGAAGACCATATAAAAACGTGCAGTTAGCTGAATTTGGCCCAAGGACCATAGTTTTCTGACCTTCGATTTTTATTGTAAATTATGAAGAAGAGAGGATGATGTAAATACCACTATTCTCTCCAAACTAAGTAAAAATTCTGACTTCTAGGTAGTCCACATGCTATTTCTTTAGGAAAATTTCAAGGCGTAAGGGGGTTGGCTTCAGTAATAAAGTTATGATAGAAACCTCCAAAGCTTTGGAGTAGACTGCCAAAGCAGAAGGGATTATATTTTACGCATCTCAGGATTCAGACTGAAAACCCCCAATCTTCAGAGAAAAGCCTTAATTGTGGGAAGAACAACTTATACCATCACAAAAAGTGCAGAGAAGTGGTTGAAGGCAAGGTGACAGACACAAAGGAAGACTAAAGTAAGGACAAGATACACAGAGTGCACAGTACCCAGGGCTGGAGTTCATCAGGGTATGCCAGGTTGTGATGGTAGGGACCAGGAGAAAGAAGCTACATCTTCTCTGGGGCTGTAGAAGCAGAGCCAAAGATTCCCAAGTTAACCTACTCCAACTTCAGCTTCATGCGAGAATGATAGTGCCCATGTTTAGAAGGGACCATAGGGAATGCTGAAAAGACTAACTTATGAACTATAAGTCATCAGTTACCTAAGATGGACAAAGTTATCTATCATAAGTTAAAATGTGGACTTCATGAGTTTTGTTATAAGAAAATGAATAAAGTTTTCTCCTTACACGGCTGAGTCTGAGGCCTACATGAGGAAAAATTAAAAACTTTTAAGCTTATGTTAATTAAGAAACACACTATAATATTTAATGTCAAATATGGATAATCTTGATTATGATAATCACCATGTGCACTGACTTAAATGTGAAGCATTAACTTCTCATAAAACTTTCCTAAGGAATATGCCAAAACGATAATGACATGTGAACAAATCTAAAAGTAGATTTGCTCTCTAAAAGTGTTGGCTTGATCAGTAAAAACAGACATGATCAAATCAACTGTTTCAAATGGAAGGCACCTGTGTTAGGCTGGATTACTCCCCCCTCCACCTCTCCACACCACACTACCGCATGGAATTTGTGAATGCTACTTCATGTGGCAACAAAGGACTTTGCAGATGAGACTCATTAAAGATCTTGAGCTAGTGTAAGATTATCCCGAATTATCCAGCTGGGACCTAAATGCGATCATTAAGTGTCTTCACATGAGAGAGGCAGAGGGAAATCTGACAACAGTAAAGGAGCAGGCAATCTGACCACGGAGGCAAAGACTGGAGTGATGCAGCCACCAGCCAAGGAATGTTGGCAATCGCCAGAAGCTAGAGGAGAAAAGGAAGAAATTATTCTCTAGATGTTCTGGAGACAGCCCTACCAACCCCTTGATTTCAGCTCACTGAAACTGATTTTTGATAACTGGCATCTGGAATTTTGAGAGAATAATTATTTGTTGTTCTAAACCACCAAGTTTGTGGTATTGTGTTATATAAGCCATAGGAAACAGTGCCCAAGCACTAAGAAGTCACAGCCTTACTTGAAGAAATTGTATTCTGTTAATTTTTACATTTTTACTTTGTTTTCTATCATTACACATGAAGCAAGAAAGGGGATTTTCGATGATATTATCCAGGGTTAGGATCCATATGTAAGTTATCCCACTTGTATTGTAACATTTTCAGCTGTAAGATATATTTTATAGAGTGATTCATTGTAAATTTGGACCAGTCCTTAATTAGAAAGTTTCTTTAAATTCTGATCTTAATTTTGCTTTCATGTAATCACCACCAACTAGTTCTAGTTCTGCTCTCTCAAGCCACCAAATGGCTCTAGCCTTTCTATTGTGTTAGAATATTTTCAAACCTGAATGGATCTAACCTTCATTTAACATCACAATTTTTAAACATGTTTGAAAAAAAATCTATGTTCCTCTCCAGACTCCTCCAGAGTATCTTAGCCTAGCCTAGAAATCTTCTCTAAGCAAAATGTATCTAGTTTCTATTATTATCTTTGATATAACTTTGATTTCTGTAAACCTCATTCTCTGAAATCCAGAAAAAAAGGAAGAAAACTATGAAATTGATGATAACAGTTTATTACTTGTGGGCTTGCCCTATGCTAGGCATTGACCAATGGAGATATCCCTAGTGTTGTGATCCCCATTTTATAAAGGAGAAAATTGAGTTTAAGAGAATTCTTCTAATATATTTAGTAAATGTTCAATTCAAACATTTAAACAGTTAAATATTTAACTAAGATGACATTAGAATAATGTGGGTGGAAGGAGAACTTTAGCTCAGAGGAATACTACTTTTCTTTTTTTTGTGACAGAGTCTCACTCTGTCGCCCAGGCTGGAGTACAGTGGTGCCATCTCAGCTCACTGCAACCTATGCCTCCCTAGTTCAAGCTATTCTCATGGCTCAACCTCCCGAATAGCTAGGATTACAGGCATGTGCCACCATGCCCAGCTAATTTTTGTATTTTTTTAGTAGAGATGGGGTTTTGCCATGTTGGCCAGGCTGGTCTTGAACTCCTGACCTCAGGTGATCTGCCTGCTTCAGCCTCCCAAAGTACTGGAATTACAGGGATTACAGACCTGAGCCACCATACCCAGCCAATACTACAAATCTTCATTTCACAGGTTTAACTTCAACCTTTTACACAGCTATGATATATGACTGGCTTATGTGGAGCTGATGTCCAACTAAAAATGTCATTTTTCTTTTTCTTTTTAACAGAAATACTTGCTAAATCAGGGCCCCTATACTGTGTTTGTGAAAATGCCTTCCTAAAACAATGTATAATACAACTTTGTGTTCTATTAAATTTTTAAGTGCCTAGTTCACAGATTGGGTTTACCATAATCTTTGGTTCAAAGCACCTTCTCATTATTAGTTAATTTGTTAGCTACTTTTAATAATGTAATACTGGGAAGACAATCTATAACACAAAATAAGGTGTCTGCCATTTCTTTGCCTCCCTTTTAATATAGTTTTATTGCATTTATATGTATTCCTTAAGTCTTCTTGTTTGAATTATATTTCAGATTTTTTTTCCTGCCTTGTGTAAAGGGCATCAGGCAATATCTAGCTGTTAGGGACTTTTATACTTAATATAATATTGCAAAGGTTCACCTCTTGCTGCATTACATTATGGCTTATTTAATTTGTCTGGTGGAAATAATCCATTGTGTAAATGTTACAGTATATTCATCTACACATTGGCGGTTGTGTGCATTGAAAATGTGTTCATTTTTTTTGTATGGTTTTGGTGTTATCATTTAAAGAAAACTTTTTTAGGGTACCTGAGGAAAAAAGCTCTTGATTATAATATACAGGTAGTTACATTGTTTCCTTTTGTTTAAGAACTTTCTCCCTACTCAAGCTCTAAATGATATTATCTCTATTTTTAACTGTGAGTTTAATTTTTTTCCTTACATTGAACACCTTTGAAAAATAGTGAGATAATTGTTGTTATATGAGATATTTGGTTCCATTTTTTTTTTACATTTATCTAACCATTTTTCCACCTCTGTTGAATGATCTTTCCTTTTTGCCCTAATGTGAGATTCACCTTTGTGGGAGATCAAAGTTCCAATTTTGGAGGGATTTCTTTTTGGCTCTTTATTATATTTCACTGGTTTATTGGCTAAACTCTGTCAGTAATATATTCTCTTAATTACTATAGTTTCATAATAAGTCATTATATCATTTAGGGAAATTTCATTTTGTAGAAATTACTGGTCTTCACCAATATCCTCTTTTCTCCTTTTGTGTGGACAGAATATTTGACTCCATAGACCTCTATTATTTGGGCAGAAGCATGTGATAAATTCTAGGAAATCAAATTTTATTGGAAATCATATATGTCACTTACAGACAGAGGCAACAAAATACCCATTCTCTAATTTCTCATTTCCCTTTCATGATGTCCAATCAACTCTGTGTTTCAAACAGAAAATATGGTGGAGGCCTGGACAACCTGGATCCGTGAATAATTGTATGGTTCATATCTTTCTATGGGACATATAAGGTGAATTAAAAATACATTTTGCATAAATGAGATATTTATGTTTTGGAGTTGCTAGTACTGCATTTTGTAATGTATTTATCTTATGAATTCAAATCCTTAGATAGGCATTTAACTATGTATGAAAAAACAACTTTTTCTTTTTTCTGTTAAGTACCCCTACGTACTGGTGCTAATGCATGAGTTAGTATACAAGGTTTCTTTCTACCTGTGTTCTTTAGTTAAAGTATATTGGAGACTTAAGATATTCTCCCTACCTAGTAGCTTTAAATTGAGAGCATTTTGTTTTGAGAAATAGGGTTGTAAGAGAGCATGAGATAGCAGATGGGGAAATTGAAAATCTGATTCATTCCACACAAATTGCCAGTAAGTCTCTTACCTGGAAAGAGATTTACCTTTTGAAAGTATGAAGTTGAATGTTCTGAGAAATGTGGGATTTATTTGTAAGCAAGAAATCCCAATAAGTAGAAAAAGGGGGCAAGAAGATCATTTTCATTAGTGGAAGTTTAAAATGGGTCACCAAGAAAAGGCTATAGAATAGTATCATGTAAGGTTTTGCCCTACATAGAGGTTAAGATGCTTCTTTTTCTTTCTCTCTACTAAACCATTTGTAAAAGCTATGAATGAGATTTTTGTTTGTTTTTGAGATTTAGTCTCACTCTGTCACCCAGGCTGTAGTGTGGTGGTGTGATATTTGCTCACTGCAACCTCCACCTCCCAGGCTCAAGCGATTCTGCTGCCTCAGCCTCCCCAGTAGCTGGGATTACAGGTGCCTGCCACCACACCTGGCTAATTTTGTGTAGTTTTAGTATAGATGGGGTTTCACCATGTTGGCCAGGCTGGTTTCAAGCTTCCGGCCTCAAGTGAATCACTCACCTCAGTCTCCTAAAGTGCCAGGATTACAGGCTTGAGCCACTATGCCCGGCCTATGGATGAGATTTAACTAGGAAAATGGAAGTTGTGTCTTGTGATCCAAAGGCCTGGAAAGCACACAGCAACAGAGTCAAAGTTTGAGCTGTCTCATGGAATAATAGAAAAAAATTCACAGGATTGACACAGTTTAAATGGATATCTTAGCAACTGCATTGGTACAGTATAGGTATTTACCATGTGTTTTGGTTTTTTAGATTGAATACTTATAGACTTATAAATAACTATGATACTGTTATTATTGAGAAAGTGCACTTTTCTGAAAATACCACTCTAATTTAATAATAAATAAACCTCTTTTTGTTTTGTTTTCACCTGTTTTCTCTGAGTTGAAACTTTTCTGCACTTCAGGATTTGTACTGTAAAAATTCTATTGCCATAATACTCGCCTGCAGCTAGATACTTAAGTTATCACGATAAAGATTGATTTAAATTGAGTGTAATTATATGCCTAGAATCTTTTTAAAAATTTTCCCCTTCTTTAACCATTAATTTTCAAAACCATAATTATCCACAATATGTTTAGCTGGTGGTCTTGAATTAGTGTCCTTTAAAATAAGATCTATATGCTGGTTAATTTACTCTGATTAGAAGAGAATCACTAACACTGAGCAATTCTGTGAATTTGAAATGGGGTCTCTTAACTTTTACAGCTGCAAGATGGGCTTGAGTCACCCACATTAAAATGTTACTAAAGTTCTATTCACTCATTAGACTGGTAGTTTAAAAAATGTAAATGAGATTCTACTTTTTACCTATCAGATTGAAAAAGATAAAGTTTAAAAGGTTTGAGAATACACAGTATCAGCAAAGGTTAAAAAAAACAGGCACTTTCCTATGTATTGTGGTAAGTGTTAACTGGGGCAATTTTTTGAGTGATTTAATAAAATATTTTTATAATGTAAATCATCAAATCATTGACCAGTAGTTTCATTTTCAGGAATGAATCCAAAAGACTTTCTCCTTTAAGGTGTTCAGAGGTACATATAAAATGATTCATTTCTGGCAATGTAAATGATAAATGTCCTTAAAGGTACTGTGAAATTCAGCAAATTCATGCAATGTGGTATTATTTTACTCTTCCGTCATTGAAAAGAAAGCTAGACTTCCATATGTATTGACACATACAATCTCCACAAAAGCAAATTAAAATAAAGTGTTTACACTCTGTTTTAATCTATGCATTTTAATGGAGTGCCTGTGTATGTGTAGTACACCCACATATTTGTTTGCATATGTAGAAAGCTTTTGAATTACACAATAATAATTTGTAATAATGGTTACTATTGGTAATAGGGATTCAGAATCCAGGGGAGGAGAACTTACAGTTAGAATTTTTTACATGAAATATATAATATTAATATCTATTACTTTTTCCTTTAAAAATCATTATGCAAATAAAGGGAGAGCACATATAGTTTTTTTGAGTATGCAGCACTAAAATATAACAATGAATATGAAGACGGTCCTACATATCCTGCTGGGTGCTGCAAAGACTCTCTGGCCCCTGTCATACCAGACCCATTTAGTTTTCAGTGACTTAGCAGTGACCTCAATTCCTGAATGAATATCAGAGCAACCTCTGGTTAAAAAAAAAAAGTACTAACTATCTACAGAAAGATAATTTTTATGTAGATAATTTTCCAAGTTATTCTAGGCAAGTCATCAACTTTTATTTTTCAGCAATTAGATAAATATGTTTACCCTAGAGCTAGTCACATCTTCTCAACTCTGCCCAGGTATCTGATCATCTACCATTGATCTATATCCCCATGGTTTATTTCCTTTTATTCTGCAAAAGAATATGAAAGGCTCTTGCCAAACAATATTACAGCCAGGAACCGATGCTGTGAAACTGGAAGCCTGCCCCATGCTATAAAAATAAGATTGTATCATTAAATCGGGCTCCCAGGTATTTGCCAACCTGGGTAATGATGTCTCTCTGGGATACCTGCCCTTTTGGCAGCCTCCCATCCAGGCACAAGTCAGTAATCACAATTAGTGTGAACTGGAATAAAAGTGCCAAGTCTGCAAAAAAAAAAAAAAAAAAAAAAAGCGAATGCAGAGGAAATGCAGCAGAGTCTGAAATGCAACACAGTGAGCAGTCAAAACACTCAAGGCAAAAAAATGCTCCATTCTTAAAAAGGAATAAAGCAATGATAGATTGACTGCCAAACTATATTTTCTGCGTAGGTATTCCTGATTGTCCTGTCATTCTTTTGAACATTTCAGAGTCTTCCCAATGTGACTCTTTCCTCCCAGATAGTGTCATGCCTCCTTCCCTAGGTACCTGTGGCAGAGAGAAGAGATGCAGAGTTAAGGAATCCTGTTGAGGACGCCTAGAATGGAGTTCATCCTTTACTGAAGAGAACAAGAAAAGACTGAATAAATAGAGAGCAGAGAATAAAATGGTTAGAGCTGCTTGAGTAAATTCATACAATGGATTTATCAGGTGAGAGATACCTTTAAGATCCTAAAGTACAGTTGGAAGGTAGGTTGGAAAAACTTCAAATCAATATATCTCTTCCTTTAATTATGTTGTCTATGCTGGCCAGTCACCTTGAATTTCTATCTCTCATGATGAATCACTCTCAGTTCCTAAGTACTTGTTTGGTACACCGCATATTTTTGATTGTGTCCCTTATAGTTCCATCCCACCACAGTTAGCATATTGCCTTCAATATAACAGATGTGCAAGTGAAGGTTGGGTGGGCACGTTTAGTATTATTTGTTGATAGATTATTAGTATTTCCACTTAAATTGTGGGCCGAACACATTTGGAGTTGTGAAAAAGTACAGTATCTTCTGATTTACATTTAGGAATTAGTTGACCCATATTATTATATGGAAATACCTTTTAAAAAGCTGGTATACTACAAAGACAGATACAGAATCATAATGGGTCTACCTTATCTCTTTTTGTTTCCCTTTAGGGACCTAGTGTGGATTATACAGAATCACCAGCAGCTGCAATTGCATTGCCAATTAATAATTGCTTTAGATTTAGACTCTCCCTTCTTCCCTTCTGAATAAAACACATAAAATGCTTCTACTCCAAGTCATACATGCTTTTTAAGTTCTTGTTAAATTAGTCCCGAATTGAATGTAAATATCTTTTGTTTCTTACCACATAAGAGCCATTATTGAAACTCCTTAAATTTACAGACACCAAAACCATCAATGAAAAATAAAAATTGTCAAAATGGGGTTACAGGTGGACATTCTACTTACTCTCTCATGCATTTAATTGAATTCTGTGCAATTTCATGTGCATTATAATAGACTTCTTTTACACCATCAGGAAACAAGTTTTAAAACATGTGCTCTGCATTAAACATCACATAAATATTCAGCAAGGGAAAGAAAAACAGTTCTAAAGGAGTATAGTAATTTTACAGTCTCTGGTTTCTAATAAATTTTTACAGCAATCCTAAACTGCATTAGCAAGTCCCAGTTTATTGTCAGGCTTCTGCACAACATCCCTCAATGACATGTCAAATCTTTACCACAGCAGTTGAACTCCTAAAGCTGTCCTCATTGGCAAGAATCTTGTCAGATTAAATTGCCAGCTCTTGTCAAGTAAAGATATATGATCTGATCGTATTCTCCCAATGATGACATGAGTTGTCCTTTCACTGTGGCTGGATTGTAAATTCCCAGGACATCCCAATAACCACAGTTTTTGAGAATAAAAAGAGAATTTACTGACCTTTCAAAATAATGGTTCTCCCCTGAATAAAATATCTAATCATTTCAACAGTATGATTCTTATTTCTGTGTTCTCATTGTATTGTCATTTACCAACACATTTAGTAGGTAACTTAGGATGTTGCACATGCTTTATTTTCTGCCTCTCCCTACTTCCTTGTCATTTCCTACATTAAATATTATGAATGTGTATCTCTCAAGAAATTACTGTTTATTTCAGTTATCCAGGATGTTATATGTAGAGAAGAATTTATAGAGTCTCTTTGTTGCTCTCAATATTTGTTAAAAATGTAAAAGAATAGATATAGTCAGCAAGCTACAATGACAATCCATTGACAGGAATGGCATTCTTGGTACCAAACTTTTAAACACTAACAATAAATACATAAATTGTATTCTTTGTATGAGATATGTAAGTAACCACTTTAGAATATACTGCACATGTCATGAGACAGGATGAGATGTCATCTTATGCCTTTCCACTTAAATTCAGGGGATCACATTTCATCTAACACAAATTATCTGAGTGTATACCCCAGTTGTAAAGGATGGCTTGACTCCGAAAAACCCAGGATTCCAGCTAGACAATTTTACATGCCTAATAATATGCTCAAAAGGTAGTTAAATTTCAGCAGCTAAAAGAGTTTTCGTGTTATCATAGCAGCCATTAACTTCCATATTTATAAGACACCTAGGATTACACTTTAAATGGTAACTTGGGTGGGGCATAGTGCCTCACACCTGTAATCCTAGCACGTTGATTTGAGTTTGAGTCTAGCCTGAGCAACACAGAAAGATCCTGTCTCTACCAAAAAAAAAAAAAAAAAATTATCCAGGTGGCATACACCCGTGATCCCAGCTACTTGGAGAGTGATGTGGGAAAATTACTTGGGCTCAGGAGGTAGAGGCTGCAGTGAACTCTGATAGCACTATTGCACTCTAGCCTGGACAACAGAGTGAGACGCCATCTTAAAAAGAAAAGGTAACTTGAATAGCTGCAGAAAACATTGCTCTATAACGATGTATGAGGTCATGTGGGGAAGTACATATTTTCTATGTTAAAATTATCCTGAGTCCCAAATATTTCATTGAACAATGTATTCTGCCCCAAACAAGTTAAACGAAATCTAACCCATCATTTAAATTTCAGCATAGGCTTACTTACTAACTAGTGAATAGATATTTCCTTCATAATTAATCTAGGACTATTTTGTGTCATGATTTTCCATGTTATCAAATAATAAAGGTTTTAATTATAAGTATTTATTTTAAATCAATTTATGGGTAAATTTATTTCACAAAATAGATTTCACAGGCATCATAAATGAATCCAAATGAGTAAAAATTACTTGTTGAAATTTAGATTTGTCCATAAATTTAGGGAATTAGGAACTTAGATTAATTCTATTCCATTACTGTGTCAGTTCTTGACTCAAATATCCATCAATGTCTCACAAAAATGTCATTAATGTTTAGATCACTAAAGATTATATTTACTTTTGTAAGTTGACTTCATACTGGATTAATTTACATTCATTTCTCATCTTAGTCTAGAATTGTATAATTTTAAATATCTAACTTGGTCTTGACTGAATTGATCAAACCACAAAAGCAAAATAGCATGTATTCCTGCTTCATAGCTATATGAGTATAAACTTGACCTTTTTTAAAAAAAGTCTGGGCTGGGTGCAGTGGCTCACGCCTGTCATTCCAGCACTTTGGGAGGCCAAGGTGGGTGGATCACGAGCTCAGGAGATCAAGACCATCCTGGCCAACATAGTGAAACTCCGTCTCTACTAAAATAAAAAAATAAAAAATGTCTGTCAATCACCTTAAAAATTATTGGTTTTTAGTGGGCAAATGCTAGAAGCAATCTACTTTCCTAGGATCCTTCAAATCCGGGTCCTAAACCAACAAAACTATATTATGGGGATGAGATTTAGGTGATTTTTATTCTCTATTTTAAATGTCTTTTAATGTTAGATTATAAGAGATGATATAGTATAATAATGTTATAGTTCATGATATAAATTGAAATAAAACTCAGTATGTTAATATACTATTTAATAGTAATTCATTATAAATATCAAAGTAGTATCAAATAGTCCATTTTCTATCTCATTTAATATAATGTTAGTACAATACTGAGTAAACTAAAGAGGTAAATTTTTTCTGTTTCATCTATTAACATTAGGTATTATATTTCTATTCTTAAAACTGTATTGCTTACAAAATAACTAGGGTACATCTTGTGTTTACAATCTAAAAGCAGATGTTAAAATACAATGGCACAGGATCTCTTTAATATAAATAGTGGTCACTTAATATTTTAACTTATAAAAACAGACACACACACTTGAAAATAGCATCCCCACGTTAAGTACATAATTTGGGGAATTTTCTTTCAGTCTGTTTTGTGTATTCAATTGATAGCTATTTAGTTGAAAAAAAAACTTAGGTTTATCTTCTGCACCAACATCATACTGTTTTTCATTTGTATTTTAAAAATCTGCTTAAATTTGCGCAAGAGAACAAGAATTAGATATATTCTTAGTTTTTCAATGGAACTGACATTCTATTTAAACATATGTGTTAAAAATTTAAGTAAGCCATTGCTCTTTACTCTCCTAAAAAGGACTTTTTCAGCAGTCTAAACTACCTATATTAATCTCATCTAAAGTGATATATCAGAAAAATCAATGCAACAACAGATTAATGTAACTGTATTAAAATCCTATTTACATAAAATTAACATAAATATGAGTTAGTATGCCATATGCTACAGCATCTGCTCTTCACTGTATTAATAACAAGGCTGTCCCCAATAGGGATCTTAAAATTAATACATATTTAAATTGTATGTGTGTGTGTATATATATATATATTTATATATGTGTGTGTGTGTGTGTGTGTATATACATATATATATATTTTATGAAGCTCTGACAATGTGATATATGTGAAATTTTGTCAGTTGCAAACAGGCCAATTCACACTGAAATGATACCATCAACTGGACTATGATTCTGGTTTATAATAGGTGGCTTCTGAGCTATTTCACATTCTTTTTTGGAAGACTGTTTAATTAACCTTAAGCTAAATAAAACCTTTATTTAACATAATTACTCCCTTTGCTTCCTGGTGACTCCCTATTCCATCTTCTTTGAGGTCCAGTACAATTAGCCAATGAGAAATAACCAATAACCCATCATATGGGAAGATGCTTTAAGACAATCTTACACTTCACTTTCTGTCGCTAAATGTTTACATTTTGTTTTCCCAAAACAAACAGCCTAAGTTCATTTGATGGCTGCTTCTTCTAGCTTCTAGGGTGACTAAATAAAATAATTTCCTAATACAAAATTTTGTAGGAACATCAAATAATTGAAGTGGAAATGTTGCACTTTGTTCATTTTAAGAAAATTGATGTAGTTTGACTGCTCCTTTTTATTTCCATTTTTTACCACTTAATGCAAGTTCTGAATTGTGTTCTTGCATGTTTTGTTCATGTAATTTTTCACAAAGCAAATTGAAGGGTAATAATTGTTTCAAAATGATAAATTAACTTGGACTTGCTGTGGTTATAATTCCAAATCAATGTGGTAGAGCATATAAATATTAAGCATAGATATTTCCTGTCCCAGATGCATTGAAATAAAGGTATAGATCATTTATTCCTCAATATGAGCACAACTGTTATATTACCTATTTTTTATGTATAATTACACAAAAGGATGTTCGGTAGTAAATAGACTAAAAGGAAAAGAAATGTTTGACTTAAGAAAAAGAATAATTTCCTTTAAGAATGCCAGCTAATTATAAACACAGTGTGGTTATGTGCATATATGTGTGTCTATCCACATGCATCCAGATGTACACATACATATAGATGTAAATGTGTATAGTTATAGATACATATAGATAGGATTCTTATACTACAGACACCTTTCTCCCAAAGTAGATAAGTGAAGAATCATAGTTCAGAATCTCTCCACCCTTTTTCCTATAACCATTTCACGTCTGGAATTTATGATGCCCCCCTCTAAATAACTACACAGGCCGAGTGCTGTGGCTCACACCTGCAATACCAGCATTTTTGGAGGCCAGAGGCAGGTAGATCACTTGAGGCCAGGAGTTCAAAACCAGTATGGCCAACATGGTAAAACCCCAACTCTAGTAGAAATACAAAAATTAGCAGGGCGTGGTGGGGAGTGCCTGTAATCCCAGCTATTTAGGAGGCTGAGGCAGGAGAATCACTTGAACCCAGGAGGTGGAGGCTGCAGTGAGCCGAGATCGCGCCACTGCACTCCAAGTCTAGGTGACCAAGGGAGTCTCTGCCTCAAAAAATAAAACAAACCAACAAAAATCTACACATATGGTCACAACTCAATCCTTCAAATATTTCTGAGGAGGTTATAAACACTGTTAAGTCTATCTTCAGAGGTCAGACTAAGAATGGTTGAAGTAAAATGCACATGATTAATTCCTCAGCTTTCAAGGAGTCAGCAAGTATTTGTCTTACATTTCTTATTCTGTATAAAAATTGGGTCCCTGTAGTCCCAGCTACTTGGGAGGCTGAGGCAGGAGAATGGTGGGAACCCGGGAGGCGGAGCTTGCAGTGAGCCGAGATTGCGCCACTTCACTCCAGCCCAGGAGACAGAGCAAGACTCTGTCTCAAAAAAAAAAAAAAAGAATTTCCATTCAATAACATATTGTGTAAAATTTACAGGATAGTATTTCATTAACTATGTTCTATGTATTTTCGTTGTGATCTTGAAATTTCATATTTTTTAATCTCTTCAACTTAACTAGCTATTATCTGTACACTTGATACTCAGTTTGACATTCCAAATCTTTGAGTTCTCAGGTTGTGCTCCAACCCTGCCTCTCCAAGTGTTGTGCACAGATCAACAGCATCTGCAGTAGTTTCTCGGAATCACAGGTTCCAAGAATCAGAATCTGCATCTTAACAAGATGCCCAGGGAATTTGAATTCACATTAAATTTTAAGGAGTACTGGATTTAGAGATGCTTAAGAATGACAAATATTAGAATTTTAAAATATGTTCTTTGCAGTGTTAGCTTATATGTGATTTGTATCTACTTTATTACTATAATAATTTTCCTCTTCCTGTCTTAATTCTGATTACTTCCATTTAGTCATATTTTTATTTTCCTTTTATTTTAAACTCTTTTTTCAATAAACACATGCTCTCTTGTCCCACATAATGTTGATATATTTCAACTAAAATAAAAATCAACACTAGTAATGAATGTAATTCTGCTTCTTTTTCTGTAATGGAAGACGATCATCTGTCCAAAAAAGGCAACTGCAACTTAAGTATTCAAAAGAAAAATCAACCGAATTTGGAAACATAGCACTTAATGACTTTTCTTCCTTTTGGACAATTTCTTCATAATATACGCTAAAATATGCTGTGAACATATTGGTCTGCTAAAAATTATTAATGGTAGGCAGTGACTATATTCTGGTAGTTGATCCAGATGCCATCAGAAAACTATTTCCAGATTTTTAATAATAGCAGAAAATGGAACTGGGATTCATTGTTTTCTGCACCCATAACTTTGGCAATCAATGGTGTAGGTTCTTGCTACAAAATTAACCTTGCCTTGAAAGATACTTATATATGTAGTGCATGACATTTCTATTTTTTTTTTTCTAAAACTAGCTTCCTGGTCTAGGAAAGAGGAGCTTTATCTACAAGAGCAGATATTAGAGAACACACAGACCAGTAAAATATTTTTCAAAATAAAAATGTAGAAGTGATTGAGTGGTGTAGTGTAGTAACACTACAATTAAGAACTATACACACTGTTTCTTATTACAGTTAATGAGCTACATATATGCATATCCACATATTTTTAACTCATATGTTCTATGTTCATGTTTCAGAAGCAATAAAATCAAAATATGTTTTCTATTTATGTCATACATGTTTGAAGAAAGAAAAAGAACACGTTACAAAAGGCAAAGAAAATCACACAGAAATTCTTTATCAAAGCAAAAAAAAAGGCTTTATAACATGCCTAATTTGAGTCAGAATGGTATAGTATTAAAAATTTGAAGGTAATTGAACAACTTAGGTGTGTCTGCTTGGTTTCCCAGCCTTAGGGTAAACTCAGACCTATCCTGGAAATGAAAAAGAAGAAACGATATGTGTTATCTATAGGAAAACCAGGATGAATTTTAAAATGACCAAAAGCATTTACAAAATATCATAAAACTTCTTAATTTTAATAAAGATTATTTTTTACCTTAGCACTGAGGGGCTATAATTTAGTCAAATCTCTAAAAAAGGTGCTCAAAAATCAAAATTATCTAAAAGTCTAGCTGATATTAAAATTCTGTACTTACTAGCAATATTTGCCCAGCTAAACAAAATCTAAAATATGTTTTAGAATACATGTACAGATGTTGGAATTGTTTTGTTTTCATTTATTTGAGATTTTATTTTCTTTGAAAAAATTGCCTGAGGTTAATTACAGAAACCTGGAATTGTTCCATCAAAAAATAATACCAAAACAAAACAAAATACCATCTGGACTCCCAGGTTAACCTGAACATCCATGGTTTTGACTCCTCTTTGTAAATAGGTCTAGAGGAATTTCTATCACTTTTGATAAGTAAGTAAATGTCCTGATGGCAGAAATCTAGTCCCAATTTTAAAAATTAATTTAATTATAATTTGTTGAACATCCAATATGTGCATAGGAAGTGAGGGTTATTCAGAATAACAACTTCTGACTCAGCCCTTCTATGTCTCCCTTTCCTAAGGGCTCAAGTTTTGAGAATGGGGAGATTCCAGTGTACTGTGGAGGGGATTCAGGGGAACAAAAAGAAGCTGAGACAAACAGATAGAAGTGATAGAAACTGAGAAACTGATATTCCCTAGAGAAATCATGTCTGCTGTTAACGTACTGTTTTTGCAGAAGTCTTCATTTTAAGGAAAACCAGACATACACACCCACTTTTCTAGAATAACCTGTCCTCCAAGGAAAACTTAGACCTTAAGGGATGACAGCTCTAATTTTCATAATTATCCACCTGTTTATTTATTAAATAAACAATAAATGCCTAGCTAACCATGCATTTCTTCCAAAGAGCTTCTACTTTTGAATACTATAACATGAATTTCCTTGAGCTCAAAGAATACAGGCAAAGGTGATTAGTTGTACTTATTTGCCCATCTTTGATAAAGTCCAGCAGGATATGCCATGAATAAAATAGTACCAGTTTTTTTCTTTACTATTCATTTTAAATCACTATGATTTCTATTGGAATTCAAAATCAGCAGCAATCAAACATCTAAACTGTAACATTGATGGCACAATTTTATTCAATGAATCTTATTGAGCTTACCTGGCATAACACAAGAATCTTAGACCAACATCTGTCTCTAGAATTCTACCCCCCATGTTAGCAATCAGAGAAGCTAGAGTCTCAAGCACTGGTTTTCCAGTTTTCCTGGCAAACTCTCCCCACCACATTCCTTTGTCCACACATTGACCTTGATCATCTTACTCTCCAGTAAATACCCCTTCTCCCTTTTCAGGCTTTTTCCTACTGGGTGAACAGACTATGATGTTATATTCATTTATTTTTTTTACATGGGAGCTCTACAAATCTAGACTACTTGTTCAGTTATACTTGTTTTTCTAAGCTCATAATATTTTATTTTTATTGTTTCCTTGGACTGCTGGTAACTCTTCAAATGATCACAATTTTCCAAATTGAAAAGCTTCCTCTAATGTAAAGTATTTAAGAAGCATATAAAATTGTCTTTACTTATAGGCCTTTTAGAGTCTTAAGATTTAGCTGATAAAATAGATTTATTACCAGGTCCCATTTCCATATTGGGACTAACGTAGACCATAAAAACTTATATTTGGCATTTCTGAGAAGAATTGAGAATCAATTATTTAGGATACTGCTGTAAGTATGATAAGTGGCTAACCCATCTTAAGTGTAGGCATAAGTGAACAATTTTATCAGTCAAGGTATTTTTTCCCAAGTATGCTTTATAAAGCACTAAAATTTGAGATTGTTACCAATATAATATGGAAAAAGGGTCTATAGGCAAATACATTTGGTTTAGACCACACACTTTTTATTAGAGTATCACTTGAAGACTTTATTATAGTAATTTGAACTGTGATTCTTCAAGAAGAGCATCGAGTATACATTATTTATCAAACAAATGTAATGCAACTTATACTTTTAAAATATTTTCTTAAAATTATCTATGCATTTTTGATTATCATAAAAAAGTGGAATGGTAAGATTTAAGAAACCTCATAGCCGATGTTAAGTTGAACTTCTGAGAGAATATTTGACAAGCTAATATTGAAGTTTATAATATGTACTAAGTATTTTAAGTCATTTGATAGTTATGGTGAATATAATTATTACTGTAACCATAAATTGTGCAAATGCTGTGGCAGACACCTTAAGAAGAAATAAATTTGATAGGAAATATGCCACAGATGGTTTTCGCATTAACCTCTCTTATCCTGTTTTCTGTTTTGTTTGTTTGTTTGAGATAGTGTTTCACTCTGTTGCCCAGGCTGGAGTGTAGTGACACAATCATATCATGGCTCACTGCAGCTTCTACCTTCTGGGCTCAAAGGATCCTCTTGGCTCAGCCTCTTGAGCAGCTGGGACCACAGATGTGTGCCACCACATCTGGCTAATTTTTTTTATTTTTAGTAGAGATGGGGGTCTCATTATGTTGCCTAGGCTGGTCTTGAACTCTTGGACTCAAGCGATCCTATCATCTCAGCCTCCCAAAGTGCTGGGATTATAGGCGTGAGCCACTGTGCCTGGCTTATCCTGCTTTTATAATTGTTATATATTTTACTTACTATGACTTATAGAATTTCTCTAATTAATTTTTCTGTTTATCAGAAGGGATGAAAAATATCCAATGAAAGCCATGTTATATTGACAAACTTACCTTAAAATCAAAATTTATGATGTTCAGAGAAATATACTTGAGCAATTTAGTATATTTACAATGGCCCAATGCTATTGGAGAAATGGTTTCTAAAGGATGCATCACAAAGAGATTTGTAACGTAAAAAAATGCATTCTCATTGACTTATTAAATTAGGAAATCAATAAGCACAACTCTTCCAAACTGGGTTAGATATAGGAAGTTGTTTAAGTAATTTCACAATCTCTGTCTTGGCTATTGTTCACACATTTTTGACACTGTCTACATATTCTAGATTGAGAAATACTTCTCTATCTGTCATGGACTTGTACCAATTGTGACCATCTGGTAAAGATTTCGTAGAATCACTAACCATGTTTTTAAAATGTGCTACCTTCTTATGCAGTGTTGTGTTTCTACATTTTAATAATTCGATTTGTTTGTTTCATGGCATATGGCTTTGATGTTCACGTTGGTAGTAATGCCTCTAACCTCTTACTACTAAAATGTGTTAAATTAGAGTTTCCAATTTATGTGCCACTGACCCTTTATTTAAATGTGATCTGTATCTAATTATTATAAACATGATTTAACAAACCATATGCTCACTCATCTGTTCTTTATTGTATTAATGTGTCTCCTAAAGGACTTTGAAATTAATGTATAGCAGATACAGGTGTCCTAATACCTGGTAGATAACAGGTAATCTTGATTGATTTTGAGGTAAAAATAATAATGTAAAAAAGTAACAGTGAATAGTAAAGAATATACCTTATAATGTACTAAAGTATCATTTATGACTTAAAAGCCATAACATAGTAACAGTAGTCTGGTAATTTAGGATGTTTAAAAAATCTGTGATTGTAAAAATAAATTTTAAGCAGCCATACCTCTTTTGTTAATATTTACAATTCTTATTTTTTAATACTGAAAAGATTTGAAGAATAAAGCCTGCATAACACCACCTACTCAAAATCAGTGTATAGAAATCGCCAAACTGCTGTATATACTCTTGATTAGGTTTTCGACCTAACTATAATCTACAGACTTGTGAAACCTAGCACTAAAAGGCAAAAAGTTTAACTGACTCTCCAGTGCTTGCTTCAGTTTAGCCTTTCAAAAAATTGACTTTCAGATGATGCAGAATGACTCTAGACCCAAGGCACTATTCTAGAAATTAATTGACTCTTAACTTACCATTATTATGTCTCTTACATACAAGATGGTCTGGATATATTTTCTATTTAGATTTTAGATATTGTTCAATGTATTATTTTGTATTCTGGTCTTCTTATGTCTGTTAAAAACACTAGCACTTTCTATACTTCTTCTTTGAACTGAAAGACTTGTTTCTCAATATTTAAGGTACACATGGAAATCAGACCATGGGCCCCATCAACAGCTAATAGTAAGAACAAAATGAAACAAACAAAAATCCACCTGAACATTTGAATGTGTGCTTATTGACAATAGCATCAGACATTCACTTAGAACACTGCATTAATTTAAATGGTTTCCTTTAGTGGAATTTTTATTCAGAAGGTAGTACAAATTTCTACATTTTTACTTTTAAAATCTGCATTTCCTTTTCTTTTTCAGTCCCAGGTTATTAATCTTAGCAGGATAGCAGGTGGCCAGCACGAGAGAATGAACAGATTCTTCAGTTTTCCAATATCCTAACATATTGCCTACTACAATAGATTACACTACCTGTAATGCACTGTATCATCTTATGGCTTAGTGATAACCTAATGAGATGAAACAGACAAGGACAAAAATAGAAAGCTTTATATGCTTAACCTATGGCTGAACATTTTTGTTTCAAAAATAGTTAAATGAAAAAATTTAAATAGATTCCATTATAAATAGGCAATTAATTTTATTGGACTCATAATATTATTTTATTGTACTATCATTTTCTTTGAGATGCATATTCGTATAATACAGCACACATATGGAGAACAATTTCAAGCTATTTAAAGTGAGCACACTTGAAAGTAAGATGATGGCAACATACCAGTGGATTTCAGATTACTCAACACTTAACTCAAATTTGATCAAAGGCAAATTGTTCCATTAGGCATATAACAATATTCTAGAGAGATCACATACACAGAAATATCCACATTCTCATTACATAGAGAAATGTCTGAAATTGTGATGCATGTTGAACAGCAGTTATCACGTTTCTGCAGGACATTTGTTAGTGACAAAATTTCTGCTCCATTTTATGTCAGGGTAAATACAGAATAATATGTAGTGGACAACGTATAGTCAGGTTTTTCCATTAGATTTGTACATTGTGGTAGATGCTAGAGTTGTCACCCTCAAAATCTGTTACCAGTTTTCTTCTCACCTGTCGTCATCTACCACCAAGACTAGAAAGCCAAGTACTCCATTTTTTATTTCTCAGGAGTTAGGGCAAGCTATTTGGCACAATTCATTGACAATGAGGCTTACACTACAGTTGCTGGGAGGAGAGGTCCCTTCCTGAATAAAAGGATAAAGTTTTGATAGGAGGAACTCCTCTTCACTATTTGCCTCTTTTTCTTCTTTATTTAAAGACATAATATGCCCTATCATCCTTAGCAAAAACTTTGGGACTTTCCCATGCAGCCTCATGACCATAAATGGTTGCTTCAACTCTAGACAGAATATGGAATGAACCTGTCCATCAACACATGAATGGATAAAGACAGTGTAGTATATACACACAATGGAATACTATTTAGCCATAAAACAGGAGGAAATTATGTCATTCCAACAACATGGATGAACCCAGATGGCATTATGTTAAGTGAAATAAGCCCGGCACAGAAAAACAAATACTGCATGATCTCACTCACATGTGAAATTTTAAAAACTCTTAGAAATAGAGAGTAGAATAGTGGTTACCAGAGACTAGGCTGGTATGTGTGTGTTTGTTTGTGTGTACGTGCATGTATGTGTGTGTGTGTGTGTGTGTGTGTGTGTGTGTGTGTGGAGAGGTGTTGGTCAAAAGATACAAAATTTCAATTGGATAAGAGGAATAAGTTCAATAGATCCATTGTACAACATAGTGACTACAGTGAAAAACAATATATTTTGGCCAGGCATGGTGGCTCATGGCTGTAGTCCCAGCACTTTGGGAGGCCGAGGCAGGCAGATCACAAGGTCAAGAGATCAAGACCATCCTGGCCAACACGGTGAAACTACGTCTCTACTAAAAATACAAACATTAGCTGGGTGTGGTGGCACGTGCCTGTAGTCCCAGCTACTCAGGAGGCTGAGGCAGGAGAATTGCTTGAACCCGGGAGGCGGAGGTTGCAGTGAGCTGAGATTGTGCCACTGCACTCCAGCCTAGTGACAGAGCAAGACTCCATCTCAAAAATAAATAAATAAATAAATAAATAAATAAAACATATTGTATTTTTGAAAAATGCTGAGTATAGGTTTTAAGTGTTCTCATCATAAAAAGTATATGAAGTAATGTGTATGCTAATTAGCTCAATTTAGTCATTCCAGTGTATATATATTTCAAGACATCATTTTGTACATGATAAATATATGCAATTTTATTTGTCAATTTATAATAAAATACCACATTCAAAAAGGTCTATTTGATTTTTCCTTCTAAATAATTTGACCACTAATTATCACTCTGACTGTGACTCTCTTACCCAGGCAACCACAGTCTCTCTTGCCTAGATTGGTTTAGCTTCCTAACTGGCTTTCCTGCTTTTGCCCTTGAGTGTCTATACTGCACGCTCAACAGAACAGCCAGAATGATGCCATTACAATATCCATCAATTGCTCCAAATGCTTTCCATCTTTTAGGGCCCCATTGGTCCTTTTTTTTTCCTTCCTGTTTCTTCTCTGACTTTATGTCCTCCTACTTTCTGTCTAGTTCATTAGGCCTCAGTGACAGCAGCTTCAGTTCTGTTCCTTGACTTTGGTCCTCAATCAAAGTCTTTGCACTTGCTGTTTTTCTGGCTGGAATACTTTTCCTCCAGCTATCCTCACTTATGGGTCTTGAAATCTTTCAGGTTCTTGCTCAAAAGTCACATTCTTCAAGTGCCTGGTCACTCTAACTCCTTCCCATCTCCTACATGATCACACCAGTGGCAACTTTTTTTTTTTTTTTTTTTTGAGATGGAGTCTCACTCTGTTGCCCAGGCTGGAGAGCAGTGGCGCAATCTCAACTCACCACAACCTCTGCCTCCTGGGTTCAAGCAATTCTCCTGCCTCAGCCTCCCTAGTAGCTGGGACTATAGGCATGCACCACCATGCCTGGGTAATTTTTGTATTTTTAGTAGAGAAAGGGTTTCACTATGTTGGCCAGGCTGGGCCAGTGTTAGCATATTATATCACCTTTCACTGCTGTATTTTTTCCTGTTAGCACTTTTCACCATCTTACATAAAATACACTATGTATCATTTCATTGTCTTCACACTAGAATGTAAGTCCCATGAGGGCAGCAAGGCTTGTTGGTTTCCTCACTGTTACAGCCTCAATGTCTAGAACAGTGCCTAGCATGATAATTTGTTGAATAAATGTTAAGCCAAAAAAGCAAAATAGTAACTTCCTGTCGTGAGCAAGTGGTTGCTATCTGGAGCCGGTGGGGCCAGGGTAAGAAGAATTTACTAAGACAGTCGTAGATAAAGAAAGGCAGATTTATTAAAGTATTCAAATGTGTTGTAAGAGAGCAACAGGCAGTTAGTAAGAGAGGAGTTGACTGTATGGAGACAAAGGCTTGCCGGGGATTTTATAGGATAGTGCTTATATTGTGTGTTGAAGAGGGAATTTTTTTTTTTTTTTTTTTTTTTTTGAGACAGAGTCTGGCTCTGTCACCCAGGATGTAGTGCAGTGGTACCATTTCAGCTCACCATAACCTCCAGCTCCCAGGTTCAAGCTATTCTCCTGCCTCAGCCTCCCACTTAGCTAGGATTAGACGCATGCACCACCACATCCAGCTAAATTTTGTATTTTTAGTAGAGACAGTGTTTCACCATGTTGGCCAGGCTCGTCTTGAACTCCTGACCTCAGGTAATCCACTGGCTTTGGCCTCCCACAGTGCTGGGATTACAGGTGTGAGCAACCGTGCCAAGCCTTGAAGAGGGTTTTTTGTAGTACTGATAATGCCAAGGTGGTAGTGAGTTAACTTGTAATTTTTTGTTAGCTGAGGGTCTGGTTATAGTTGGGCGCAGGAAGAAGATTGTGAGTTATTTGCGCAGGAGGGCCATATGTCTCGGACCATAAAGAAAGGCAGACTTACGGTTTACTTGTCTTTGTTTGTTTGTTTTTTGCTTTCCCCTGTTCCCACCAGCCTGATGCCCTCTCCATAATTAGAACTCCAAACTTCCTACTACTTATACTTGTAAATATATTTAATGAGTGGCTTAAATAATGTACATGTGGTAAAATAAAGCAAGACAGTCTAAATAAAAAGTATTTTGAATTATGTTTGTCAGAATATCCCTTTGAGTTTTCTTGTTAAACTACCTGAGAAAGTCAGGTTATGGAAATAAGTAGTTTTAAAGTGCATTTTAACGCATTAAATTAATTTTAATCACATCTTGGTATAAAAGTAGCCAGGTGACTTAAGATACAAGGTAGTAATAGAAAATTTGAGGTATAATGAGGCCAACAGATAAGGAGACAATTGTAATTGGAAAGATACCCTATGACTCACCATTCCCAGGAGGAGGGGACATGGAGAGTCACACGGGGGAACACCAGGATTGATAATGAGGCAGAGGGAAAGAGAGAAACTGTGGGAAAGAAGCTTAATTGTTGTTTCTGTAGAAAAGAATGAAAGAGCTGGAGTAAGCAGGATTCGGATTGGCCACAGTTGGAATAATTTCAGCAAACTCTGGGGCATAGGAGCTGTGTCTGGTTGTGTGATACCTGGCCCAGCAGTGAGGAGGATACTGGCTTGTTTGCAGAGCCAGTAAAAGAGGTGGTTGGGAATGTGGTTCCTGGATTGGTTGGTTTGTATTTTTAAAATGCACGCCTGGAAGGAGGGGCCTCCTGGGGTGAGGAGCACAAGGGAGGTAGGAGGCTGGGGCAAGGTGATTCAGCCATTATGTAGGGTTGCCCATAGCAAGGCAAGGCTGGCATAGGCATGCAGAGCGGATGTTAAAGCAACAAGTTTACAGGAGCTAGAAACATGGTTAATACACCCGATTAATTAGCCACTTAGGACACTATTATATATGAGTTACAAATTCTCCATGGTTTCTCCAAAATTGTCAACTTACTCCATTTCATGGAATCATCCAGGTATGTGACACCGTTTTTAGACACTGATTATATCCATACATGACAGTAGACCACAAATTAAGTTTTCAAAGCAGTTTCTCCCTTAACCAACCAATTTAACCAACCATTTAAAAGAAAATGAAGCACATTTAACCAACCGTCATTTAAAGGTAAATGAAGCACATTTTCTTTTTTTTAAATTAAATTTTTTTTTTTTTTTTTAAAGAGACAAGGTCTCTCACTCTTTTGCCTAGGCTGCCGTGCAATGATGCAGTCCTGGCTTGCTGCAGCTTCATACAATCACTAGAGCCACAAGCGATCCTCCCACCTCAGCCTACTGAGTAGCTGGGAGAACAGGCGATTATCACTACACTTGGCTTTTTAAAATTTTATTTTATTTTTGAAATTTTTTTGTAGAGACGGAGCCTTTCTAATGTAGAAGAGGCTGGTCTCAAACCTCTGGCCTCAAGTGATCCTCCTGCTTTGGCCTCACAAAGTGCTGGGATTATAGGTCTGAGGCACATCCAGCCCAGCAGCACGTTTTCTATTTCCATTTTCAAGAAGGAGGTAACCAAGGCTCAGAAAGTTTTTCTGTGGCTCAGGTATATAGTGTAAATGTTGTCATAGCCAGATCTGCTACTCTAGCAACCTGAAGCCAAGCTTTTGTGAGCTGTATCGCGGAACTCTTTGGCTGAAACCTCCTTCAAATTTAGTCCTAAATAAATAAATAAATAAACAAACAAACAAACAACAAGGAACCATCTCCTACTTGCAAACTTGTATAACTTTATGAGTTAATCATCCATGCCATGAATCATCAAAATACCTTTTTAAAATTTTTTTTACTTTCTCTTTGTTGCTACTTTACATTGACAAGCCCCTGGATTGCATTCAGAAGGCTAGAGAAAGTTCAACAGTTAAATGATTTAACCCATAGAGAATTACATTCACATTCTAATGCATTTCAAAGTAGTCTAAGCTGATATTTAATCTCCCCGAAAACCTGCCTACCAAAAGACATGCTGATAGAAGTTATACCTGTCATTTTACAAAGCATCTTCTGGTGTCCGTATTTTCTTTTTAAAATAAAATTTTAAAAAGCCTGGTGTAGTGATAATCACCTGTTCTCCCAGCTACTCAGTAGGCTGAGGTGAGAGGATCACTTGAGGCTGCAGCAAGCCAAGATTGCATCATTGCACAGCAGCCTAGGCAAAAGAGTGAGAGACCTTGTCTCTTAAAAATTTTTTTTTAATTTTAAATATCAATACATTAGTATTATCCAATGCTTTGTTGTTACTGTTAAAATAAGTTGAGTGTTCAGAGGAAAATATTATATTGGTATCTCATTTGGTAGGGTGTCAGGTATACCTCTTACCTCTTTTCTCCTCCCTCTTTTTGTGACTATTAGTGGAATCAATTTGGGAATTTCGGTTAGAGAAGATGTGTCAATGTAATCTGGTGATGAAAAGTATCCATATATTGTATCTGTGCACAATGTAAAAAAAAAGTAATGTCCTCCTAACCAAATAACACTGACTACCAGATAAGAAATATCTTGACTATAGGTTAATCTGATTTTTTTTCTTCATACATAACAAACACCCTAAGTTCCAAGAGAGACACAACAGAGTTTAAATATTCTGATCTGAACAACTCTAGCAGGTTAAACATCTCCACTGGGTTGAGTTTACTGATTGAAATGTCTGGTCTCAATTGCCAGTCCCTCTGTGGTGCTCTCCAGATGACATAAGGAAACTTCTCTTCCTGACAAGAGACAAAACATTTCTGCCAGCCGAGGTGACACTGTGTTCACTCAATAATGATACAAGGCCCTGAGGTCCTTCGGCAAGAAAGATAACAAAGAAACTCTCAGCTAACTAAGGAAGAATGAAGGTCATCCCACAGAGAGAATGTCACGCTTACACATCACCTAGAACATTTGTTTTTCATTAATTCTGTAAGTCCAAGCTGGGCTATCATCTAGTAGCATTTTAATACTCTGTCGTCTGTCAGAAATAATAGTTAGGGTGTTTGTTTCCTCTGTAATGTACTTAAGAGAACATTTTATAATCATTTGCCTTCACATCAATGAATTCAAATAATGTTTTAGGACATAATATGATTAGATTTAATATTGCTAATAATAGCTTGGATTTCTCAGATGAAATAAATGACGATGGTAGTCATCTATTCTAAAGAGCTCATTATACAAATTCATACTACTACTATCATTCTAAGCGAAGATACTGTGCAAAATACTAATTTAGTATTGCCTTGTATTTTAAAAGTACTTATTTACAGGAAGAGACCTCTAAGTCATTCCATCTACAAAAGATTCCCTTATAGTGAAATCTAATTTAAATAGTCCATCAGTTATATGGTAAACATATTTTCTATTTGCTACTACTTAAGTCTAGAATTTTCACATTATTGGATAGAAAACAGCAAAGGCAGACTTATATTCTAAAAAGCGTTGCAAAAATGACCTTTAAAACAGATATTATACAGTGTTTCTTCTGTCAGGATTACTTAGTAGTTTATCTTATGATGTCTTCTATCTATCCATCATTTCTATAAGCTGATGTGGTATTGTTTTTGACAAGAGTACAAAGCCCTGAAGTTTTTAGTAAGATATATAGAACATTTTTTCAGTAAAAAATGAAAACATTATTAAATGTTTCTGCTTATGCAAACATATGCTTTTAGCAGTTTTCAAATAATCATAATTATTTTGTGTGCCAAATAAGTCTACGGTGCCATGTTTCTATGAGCAATAGCTCTTAAGACTAAAGTACTGCAAAAGTCACAATAAAAGCAGAATAGCTATGATAAAATAACTATAGTAGCATCCTGTTTAATGAGAATAATGCATGATTATTCAACTAATACAATTTAAAAGTCATTAATCTATCTAATTGCATTAAAGATTTAAGACAGAAGACAAGTAAGAATTCTAATAAAATTTGATATACAAGAGCAATTTTAAGGTCAGTGTCTTGTTGCTATCTCAGAGAAGTATTTTATTAATTTCTCTGAGAAATCAAAGAGGGTCAACAATTAGATAAGGATATAACCATATCAGCTTGAAATATTAAATTAGGTCAAGTTTTGAGGATAAAATATTTGACAGCAAAGTCTCCAAATGTGTCTTTTAACAGGAGTGTGTATATTCATTGGAATTACATTAATTTAAAATAGTGTAATATAAAATATTATGTGAAAACCATTTTATGCACAAAATCCAAAATAACATGAAATATGTCAGGAATCGTGTAGTTTCAAACTGCAAATTGTGTTGCCACTAATAACAGTAACCAATGACTTTTGACAGGTGAATAGAAATCTCTCTGTTGTCAACATTCATCTGGTTTTATGCAAGATTTAAATTATAAAAGTACTCCAGGAGCTTATCCTTCATAAAATACCAGGGCCCAGGATTGAAAAGCTGATAATACTCACCTATAGGAAAAAACTGTATATATAAATCCTTCCATTGAAAATGACTTTTTACTCTACTGAAACATTGCTAGTCATTTTTAGAAAGATAGCTTTGAGAATAATAAAATTGGTATCCTTCCCTATTTATTCCTCTTGCTTTGTAAACAATGATTTAGTGGAAAATTAACACTATCTGCCAGAAACCACTAAGCTCCCCTTTTCCTGCTATTTCTCCTGCAGAAAGACAAGGCCAAACCCCAAGGCACAGTCTTCTCACTCATATATCAGGCTGCATGTGTAATGAAAGTCAATATGAAACGTCCATCTGCTGTAGTTTCTCTTCGAATTCCAGTTGTCTGTGATGCTATCTACGAGTCAATCACAAAGCCAGACTCACGTCCCTTTCCTATGACATGCGTTGGAATATACTGGCTTATAGATGAATAGAGGCAGAATATAAACACATATGATAAAACAGTTGCTTTGCATTTATACATCTTTTCTTTTTCTGCTGTTGTTATTTGATAATTAACTTAAAAATGACTGTTTTCCTTGATTTACTGAGTGATTGCTTAATCCTATTAATTTATGGGAAAATAAATAAAGAAGTAAAAGGAGAACTCAAAATCAAACCAGAACTTTATTCTACTATTATCGTCATTCGGACTCATCAAAAAAATATGTTTTCGGGTGTCTAAGGAATGTTTTAATGTAAATTATACAAGTTTATGTATGTTTATATTTTCTTAATTATTACTTTTATAATTACTATTATTTAACTTAAGCAAAATAAACACTATAACAAAATTTCACTTTATGGTATTTTAGACCAAAGTCTCAATAAAGATGTTAATATTTCTCAACTTTCCTTATTTCCTCCTTCTGAAAGTTTAATTTGTATAGGTTATAAAATATTCATATCTGAAAATGTTAGATCAAATTAGGTTTCTCTTACCACTCTTTTCTGTTTTGTCTATTTTCACTATTAGCATTTCTCTTTTCCAAGCAAGCTTGAAGATGTTACACTAAACAGGTCTATTTAAGTATAAAAATGTCCTTCCTTTAACCAACAAACAAAAAACAAAAGTGTCTTCACTTCTTCCCCCAAATTAAATTTTATATGTATTCTCTTCTCTTTCTCTTTTCTTCTCTCTCCTCTTTCAATATAGTGTCTGAATACCCATATACAGACACTGGTATAATCGTACACAATCATCTGCCTTCCTTAGTGATACCAATTGCCTCAAGCTCAAGTATATGGCTCAGTTTATCTATTCAAGTACTTTCTCCTGCCTGGACTGTTCTTTCTTCTCTCAGGAGTGAGAGAGAGTATAGAACGGGGTAATTTTTCATCCTTTAACATTTAGCTCAAAAGTCTTCTCCTTCTTACCTTTCTGATGTATGACCCCAGCCACTCAGTCAGACTCTTCCCATCTGACTTACAAAATGCCTGCTTCTTTTACAACAAAATGTATTGCACTTTTTCATTTATGTGAATGTCTACCCAAAGAAACTCTATAGCACTTAATACCTATTCAACATTTTAACCAATAAACTTAGTAAAATGTCCTACAATAATTTCTTAAAATACATTGAACAAATGAATTTAAGTGCCTGTCTCCTTCATAGGTAGACTAGCCTCGATTTTTTTCCCCTCTATTGTTCTACTGCTAAATATTTCTCTCGTTCCTCTTCACAGTGCATCTGGCTTTCTTATTCTTATAACTTTGGTGAATTAACTTTTAGTTTCTTTTCTGAGAAATGACTTCCTGCTAGTTTCTTTCTCTTCTTCATGAATTGTTGATTTTCATCCCCCTCCTATTTTAAAATTGATCATTGACATAGGAGTTTTCAATTGCATTCAGTCCTCTAAAGGAGGTGCTTCACTTGATCATCTTACCACTAAATCCCCAACACTTACTTATGCTAAGCATATTTTGGTCTATTACTTAGCCTATAATTTGGTAGTTTTGTTTTAATGCTTTTTTATTTCCTAACTGCAAAGATTCCACATAGATATATAAGCAAGGAAAGATAGCTGCCACTTTTATTGCTTAGTTGGATTGTTCTTCCTCTTCTTCTTCTTCTTCCCTGACTCCTATTACTTCGCTTTCTCTTCCTTCTTCTCATTCTTTTTGACATTTCTTTATATCTTTATCTTGAGGAAATAACTATAGTTGATGAAATGGCGAATGGCAGTAGCTTTGTAACACTTGGCAGCTTGTTATAAACACAGAATTTCAGGTCCTATCACAGACTTACTAAATCAGAATGTCAATATTAACAGGTTCCCCATGATACTGTTATGCCCATTAAATTCTGAGAAACACTGATCTAAATTCATTAGTTCAAAAAGACTATACTTTCAAGGGTGAGGCAATATAACAGTTTTAAAAAATGTGTCTATCTGTGCTTCTAGACTCAGAAGCTATGCTGTAAAAACTGACAAATGTAAGCTAAGTTTTCTAAATGCCAAATGTAGGCAATTCTGTGCAGATACAGAATGGGTGTTTTTATTCAGAGAGATTAATGACATTGTGCAATAAATGTCAGCTATAAGGCAAGCACTGTGCTAAGTTACTGGGCCATAACTTGTAACATGTAAAGTCTCCGCCATTTCAAAGCTAGTAGATCTAGTGAGGAGAAATGTAAAGAACTCACTGACAATCACAATACAGTGTGATATTATAGTGGTAGTTACTGAGTGGGGAATACAAGAAATAATATGAGGACAGAAGAGTAGCAACTTATTCTACACTTAAAGGATCAAGAAAGGCTTCCTGGAGGAAGTGATCACTGAGCTGAAAGACAAAGAGAAGGTAATCCTGGAAAAAGGGTAATAAAGAATGTTCCAAGCAGAAGAAACAGCATGTGTATAGCTCACAGGTTGGAGAACACATGTCTCAACTTCATTGGATTATACTATAGTAGTGAAAACTGAAAGTTTGTTGTAAGTCAAACTTAGTTTTACTCTGACATAGGGCCAACTCTCAACAGTAATACCTCCATATTTTAAGTCTTTATCTTTGTTAAAGTTGCAGAGATATAAAAAGGAAACTTTTATTTAAACTAGATTCTCCAAACAGATTTATAACAGGGAACAGATCTTTGCAGTGCTTGAGTTAGGCACAGGAACATGCAGGGACTAGGGCAAAGGTGGAAGCCCTTCATATCTGTGTAGGATGTCAGACATCTTTGGGGAGATTGTTCTTCCCTTCTGTGATAAGGGTAAGCAGAATTTTAGGATTATGTACATTGTTATGCAGATTAAATTTAAACCCCCTCCTTTAAAAATCTTCCTTTCTAAATGGCCAAAACTTTGTTCCTATATGTAATACATAAAATACAGTAGTTGAAATTGTGTCTGTGCTAGAAAAACATACCAGTAACATCTATCATGAAACTTAAAGTATAAGTTTTCTCTAAATTAAAATTATATATTTTTGGTTGAGTGGTGGATACTGGTGTGTGTTTAATGACTATTCCTTAATTTATCATAAATGTGTTTATCATAAATATATCACAATACTCTACGGTAGACATTTCACAATGAAACAAGGAGAAACAAAGTAACCTTTTCAATCATTGAGTTTTAAATGTAAAAGAGTTAACTTTGTAACAGCAGCTTTTTAAACAGTATACTAAATATATGTGTATTAAAGTTTTGTTCCTGATACCGGGGAAAAATTTTAGAATTGACAAGGGGAAAAATAAAGTTCCCAGTTCTCTTAGCGCTTCCCCCCACCTTTTTTTCCTTAAAGTGCTTGACTTAACTGGCATTTTAATACAGTACTTTATTTGTTTCCTGGCCAGCCTCTTATTCCCAATTGTACCTTTCTTTGTCAGTATCAAACTGCCAAACAAAGATGATCAAATGGAGATAAAATAATTTCCCTTAGGGATGTAGTTTTAAATTTATTTCATTCCAAAATTCTTAAATTCTTGAAGTGGAAATTAACAATTGGCATAAACTTATATTGTGGAATCACCTCCTGAAACTTTCCTGAAATTGGAAGACAATTTACATTGGCAGAGCTATTCAAGTTATTGGTTATTGTGTGTTATCTTCCTACATAAATATCTAGTTATTTTTAGTTAATGAATTAATGAGCTGCTCCTTGAAATGTGATAATTAACCACCATTTGACTGATAGAAGAAACAAATTCTCTGATGGGGAAATGAGAGGCTTTCAGGAATTCCAATCCCTTATGCAAAGCATATTTGAGTCAAATATTACTACCCTGTATACTTTCCCTTGTTAGTGAAAACTGTTTTCAGTTCCATCAATCTCAGTCTATTTATTTAGAAATTACTGAGTTATTAGAGCTGCTGTCTGGTCTCTTGTGTTTAATTTTCACTCGGCATCAAATTCAGAAATCCTAGCTGCTGACAAAGTGCTGTGTGGTTCCATTTCTGCATCTTTCAGTCCTATAAAATGAATCTTGCTGTGAAAAATGAAGATTAATGAGCTTTATAATGACTCTCCCCTGCTAAAGCCAATCTGAATAAAGAGGAGAGGAAGAGTGTGTTTGTATGTGTGTGTGTGTGTGTGTGTGTGCAGAGTGTGAAAAGGACAACAGGAAAAAAGGCTATGGGTTCCCTTGGATAAAATTAAGACACGAAATTTTGGTGGTTCCTCCAGAAATTAAGCATAGAATTCACAATATGATGCATCAACTCCATTTCTGGATACAGACAAAAAAACAAATAGACCTGAAAAGAGGGACTTGAACAGATATTTGTACACCCATGTTCATAGAAGCATTATTCACAATAGCCAAAAAGTGGACCAAACCCAACTGTCCTTCAACAAATAAATAGAGAAACAAAATGTGGTATATACATACAATGGAATATTATTGAGCTTTAAAAAGGAAAGAAACTCTGATACATACTACAACATAGATGAACCCTGAAAACTTTATGCAAAATGAAATAAACCAGTCACAAAGACAAATATTGACTACTCTGGGTACCACTTAAATATGTTATATATTGTACCTAGAGTAGTCAAATTCATAGAGAAAGAAAATAGATTGGGGATTATGAAGGGCTGAGGGGAGGAGGGAATAGGGAGTTATTGTTTAATGAATGCAGTTTTAGTTTTGCAAGATGTATGGTGATGAAGGTTTCACAACAATGTGAATGTACTTTATGGCGCCAAACTGTACATTAAAAAAATGGTAAAAATGGTAAATTTTATCTTATCTTTTATGATAATAAAAATCAAATACAAAATAAGCTATGAGCCTAATGAGCCAGCTCATGAACCAAGTAACTATTTTCAGCAACTGCATATTTCGAAATATAAGAAACAAACTTTGCAAATACTTGTTTCTTTCTTTTAAACTTAATAGTTTATCAAAGGCCTCCAAAACAAACACTAGTCTCCAAAGGATTTGACAGACTCCCTCAGCAAAGAGGATTTCTGGGTATTCCATATACACATTAGCTCTTTTGAGAATGGATAGCCTTGTTCTTTTATTTTAAGGCAAATATCATAGACTGCTGATTTCTCTGAAACAAGGTTATAGCAATTTTGGAGAGGAAAGCACTGGCACAGGTGGTGTTTATATGTTAAATGAGAAGCACAGTTCAACAGGAAGTTGATAAAGAGACTGTGCTGGTTTAATTTGTGAATTTCCAATAATTCTCACTCTTTCATTGTTAATTATAGTAAACTTCATTACCCTATCTTTTTTGAAATATCAGCTTCAACTGAACATTCTAGAGTGTACCGGCAGCATCTTTTCTATGGATGGTGTCAATTAACCAAACTAAAGTTACGCATGCATCTTTTTAGTCATATAAACAAGTTGCTTTTATGAATTCACAAATATTTATGCTTAATTTTCTCCTTGTCTAGGTATGAGATTCACATAAACTAGAATATTTGTGGGAGATCTCGATAGAGTTTTGGCTTCTAATGCAAAGAAATTATTAAAATGTAGAGGGTGTAACAACTTTGTTAGTATAAAATATGTGACACTTTTAAAGGAATTTACTGTGTATTTTAATAACCATATCATTTGTGAATATTAAATATGATGGGAAATAAAATTTTTCAGCAGCATCTATATCAAGCAATAAACTTTTAATCCCTAGTCTCTTAAATATCAAGATTATGCACTTCTGGAATAACTGTGAAAAAGTGGCCAGAAGTGCAATTCCCTTTCTCTCCTTTTAGTTTCCAGAAATTGTTACACATCATTGCTCTTTGCTTAATAGTGTGACATCTTGAGACAAGCTTAACTCTGACTCTGTTGAAGGTAGTCATTGATCCAGTAGCTTCTGCCTTCTTAGTGAATCAAACTCAATGTAGTCCCCCTTCTGACTCTTTTTTTCAATTTACTTTAATACTTTCAAGAAATGTTCAGTGCTTTTCTTTGCTAGAAATCTCATAAATATTCACACGCATGGTAGTAGGCAGGAAATACTTTAAAAGGTTTGGCAATCTCAATGACCTACAACTCTTGACACTGAGGTCCCATTTGATATATTCATTAGAAGCAAGATAGTTTTATATATGCCATTTTTTTCACAGTGTGGGATATTTATAAAAATAACTAATATTTTTTTGAATGCATAGGATGTGCCAGACACTGGGCTAAGCATTTTACAAACCCCATCTAGTACAGCGTCCAAGAGGATTTCCGAGGGCACACCGGAATGTCATTAAGCTAAGTAGAATCACATAAAGGAAAAACATAAGTCTATTTTTAATGCTTTTTCAATCATGATTAAATAGGCAAAAGTAATAATTTGGTGTTAGTCTGTCTTTAAGGCCTCCTTAATTGTTGGCAATCTTTCTCTTTAACAGAAGGAGAAGGAACCTTAAGCATAGCTGATGAAAATGGTTAGCTGGATTTTAATAACACTACTTGTTTTGGTATGTACTTTTACTATATTTATGTTCAGTGATATAGGCATTCCATCTGCAGTGGTGACAGAGTCTCCTTTGTAAATAAATTAAGTAGAGATAGGAATAGTCAATATAAAGAAAAATGTGAATTAAAGAATAATTTTGGAATATTTGGTTATGACAGAATCAGAAAGTGACACAAGGATTTCTAAAGTAAATGAAGCATTGTATTAGAGAATAATGTGCCTAATGATCTACAACCATCAGGGTTGATTAAAAACTCCTTCTAAAATGTAGTAGAATATTTGTTAATTCAATATGTATTACTGAGAAGACAGTATATGCCATGCACTGTGTACAATGCTGGGCGTGGTGAATATGGTATTCATGATCCCTGACTCAGTGAAGCTTATCATTTGTCAAGGAGAGGGACATTAAACAGGTAATTACAACAAAGTGTAATGACATTTCCTATTAAAAGCAAAACAAACAACAAAGAACTGTTCACAGGGCCTGGACTAGTTTATAAAAATTGTACATCCAAAGAAATCTAAAGTTATAGAAACAGTTGAAATGAGATAAAAGCATTAGCAGCCGAGCATTTTTTTGGTTATTCATTTAATCAACAAGGCTCATTTCCTCCTTGACTTTAGGTAAGTATTCAGATCTCTCTGGAACTCAGTTCTGTCATCGTTAGGGTTGTTGTGAGGATTAAAACAGCTGGGGCATGCACAATGCTTAGTCTACTGCCCACTGCATTCAATAAATCATAACTATTCTTATTAATGTGAATCTATAATGTGACAGAGACTGTGTCAGGCAATTGGCATAAAAGTGACATACAATTTCTGTTAAGTAAAAAGGAAATGGAAGATGATTCTAAACAGAAGAAACAGAATCTTTGAGACCAATGACACTCCAAAGAAAACTCAGGTGTAGGTGGAGTAGATGATATAAGTGGTGGGACATGAGATTAGAAAGTTAAAATGATCACTGTAAGTATCTAAATATGGAATTTTGACTTGATTCTATGGTTCAGTGGTTTATATGGTTTTTTGCAAACCCCCTAAAATTATGTTGTCTTAAATTTTTCAATTAAGTTTCAATAGCAAAAAACTGTATTTCTAGGAATTTATAAATAACACTCCATTTAAAAATAAAACTTAAACATACTGAAAAAATCTAATTACTATAATTAATATGAAAATTATTATCTTGTTTGAAAATAAATGAACAGTCCTCCTTTAATAGTTGAAAACTTTATACCACTATTTTTTCTTCTTGAATTCATAGTTCTATTCCACTTTCCCTACAAAATTATTTTTCTTATATTTTTATTCCAGAATATTTTAAAAGTTTGCTCTAACATAATAACAATAGTTTCTAAAAAATGTTACATCCATAAGACATGGACATTATTTCCCTCTATACTTAATTTTTAGCATGTTTGTATGTAACGTAAAATATTTAAAATTTCAATCAATAATTATGCAAAGTAGCAACATTTTATTTGTGCTATACTCTTTAATAACTCCAAGACCTTTAATAAGTACTTCATATATCCATGAATAAAAATGTTGGATTGCTAGAATAAGCATCAAATCTATGCTTATTTTTCATTTATGAGTTTAAGTCTTGAGAATTTAATCATTAACATGTAAATGGGTATAAAAAAACATACTCCATGGCACTCAATTCTTACGAATTCTTCTGGGCTTTATATCAAAAATCACATAACCATGCATCTCCAACATTATTTGTAGTGGTCTACCAGGCAAATTTTGTTAAAAACAAAATATGAAAAACCAACTAATTCACAAAGGTATTTGTTAGGTAGTCATTAGGCTGATTCACTTTCTCGGACTAACAACATACTGAGTGGCTCTTTAGATGAGCCCCAGGTTTTTGCTTGCTGGTGCAATGTGTGTTTCTTTAAAAAAAATGGGAAAATGGCAGGCCAGGCATGGTGGTTCACACCTATAATCCTAGCTCTTTAGGCGGCCGAGGCAGGCAGATCACCTGAGGTCAGGATTTTGAAACCAGCCTGGCTAACATGGCGAAACCCCATCTCCACTAAAAGTACAAAAATTAGCCGGGCACAGTGGCGCAGGCCTGTAGTCCCAGCTACTTGGGATGCTGAGGCAGGAGAACCGCTTGAACCAGGGAGGAAAAGATTGCAGTGAGCCAAGATCCACCATTGCACTCCAGCCTGAGTGACAGAGCAAGACTCCGACTCAAGAAAATAAATAAATAAATAAATAAATAAATAAATAAATAAATAAATATGGGTAAAGGCTGATAAACCATGACACCTAAGCCACAGATGGACAGATTAGTTTGGAAAATAGCATATGTGATATTTGGTGTCTGGATCCTTTCTATGTCCATAATCTCCATACCTCAGTCCAGTGTGACAACTACTCCTGTAAACAACACAGCCATAAGAATGTTTTAGGAAGGGAGAGGGACACATTATTTTTTCTTGTTTTTCTGGTCAAAATAATTTTAATGGCAGTAGAGAGGATGAATTTTGGGTTGGTAGAAGAATATATTACACACAATACTTAGGTGAAAATATGATTTTTTGATGATGAATGATTCAAGAAAATATTTTAAAAGCAAGATTGACAAAGTTTAGTGGCTGAGGATATATGAGGAATAACTCAAACAACATAATCTCTAATCGGCTCACTGATTTGAGTATTAATGCCATTAACTGAGACCAGAAATATGAAAGATGAGTATATTTGGGAAATAAAGTTGGATTTGAAAACTTAATTTAAAATGCATGTGGGTGTAAGTATTTGGTTTTATTTCTGGGTTCTCTATGCTGTTCCATTGGTCTATGTGCCTATTTTTATACCAGTACCATGCTGTTTTGGTGACCACGGCCTTATACTATAGTTTGAAATCAGGTAATGTGATGCCTCCAGATTTGTTCTTTTTGCTCAGTCTTCTTTGGATATGCAGGCACTTTTTTGGTTCCATACGAATTTTAGAATTGTTTTTTTCTAATTCTGTGAAGAATGATGGTAGTATTTAGATGAGAATTGTGTTGAATTTTTAGATTGCTTTTGGCAGTATGGTCATTTTCACAATATTGATTCTAACCATCCATGAGCATGGGATGTGTTTCCATCAAAAACATAAAGTGGGGAAAGGACACCCTTTTCAACAAATGGTGCTGGGATAATTGGCTAGCCACATGTAGGAGAAAGAAACTAGATCCTCATCTCTCACTTTATACAAAAATCAACTCAAAATGGATTAAGGACTTAAATCTAAGACCTGAAACTATAAAAATTCTAGAAGATAACATTGGAAAAACCCTTCTAGACACTGGCATAGGAAAGGATTTCACGAACAAGAACCCAAAAGCAAATACAATAAAAACAAAGATAAGGCCGGTGCAGTGGCTCATGCCTGTAATCCCAGCACTTTGGGAGGCCGAGGCAGGCAGATCATGAAGTCAAGAGATCGAGACCAGCCTGGCCAACATGGTGAAACCCCATTTCTACTAAAAATACAAAAATTAGCGGGATGGGGTGGCACGCGCGTGCCTGTAGTCCTAGCTACTCAGGAGGCTGAGGCAGGAGAATTGCCTGAACCCAGGAGATGGAGATTGCAGTGAGCCAAGATCACGCCACTGCACTCCAGCCTGGCAATAGAGCGAGACTCCGTCAAAAAAACAAAAACAAAAACAACCCTCAAAGATGAATAGCTGAGACTTAATTAAAGAGCTTTTGCACAGCAAAAGGAACAGTCAGCAGAGTAAACAGACTACCCACAGAGTGGGAGAACATCTTCACAATCTATATGTCTGATGAAGGACTAATATCCACAATCTACAATGAACTCAAATCAGTAAGAAAAAAACAAAAAATCCCATCAAAAAGTGGACTCTGTCACCAGGCTGGAGTGCAGTGGTGGGATCTTGGCTCATGCAATCTCCACCTCCTGGGTTCTAGTGATTCTCCTGCCTCCACCTCCCAAGTAGCTGGGATTACAGGCGTGCACCACCACACCCAGCTAATTTTTGCATTTTTAGTAGAGACGGGGTTTCACCATGTTGGCCAGGATGGTCTCAATCCCCTGACCTCATGATACACCCACCTCGGCCTCCCAAAATGCTGGGGTTACAGGTGTGAGCCACCACATGAAGATACACAAATGGCCAACAGACATACAAAAAAAAAAATGCTCAACATCACTAATGATCAGGGAAATGCAAATCAAAACCACAATGCAATATCACCTTACTCCTCCAAGAATGGCCATAATCAAAAAATCAAAAAATAACAGATGTTGGTGTGGATGTGGTGAACAGGGAACACTTCTGCACTGCTGGGGGGAATGTAAACTAGTACAGCAACTATGGAAAACAGTGTGGAGATTCCTTAAAGAACTAAAAGTAGAACTACCATTTGATCCAGCAATTCCACTCCTGGGTATCTACCCATATGAAAATAAGTTGTTATACGAAAAAGATATTGCATACACATCTTTATAGCAGCACAGTTTGCAACTGCAAAATCATGGAACCAACCCAAATGCCCATCAATCAACGACTGGATAAAGAAACTGACACACACACACACACACACACACACACACACACACACAGTCACCCACACACGATAGAATACTACTCAGTCATAAAAAGGAATGAATTAATGGCCTTTGCAGCAACCTGGTTGAGATTGGAGACTATTATTCTAAGTGAAATAACTCAGGAATGGAAAACCAAACATCCTATGTTCTCACTGACATGTGAGCTAAGCCATGAGGACTCAAAGGCATAAGAATGATACAGTGAACTTTGGGGACTTGGGGGGAAGGGTGAGACAGGGGCGAGGGATAAAAGACTACAAATAGGGTGCAGTGTATACTGCTTGAGTGATGAGTGCACCAAAATCTCACAAAGCACCATTAAGAACTTACTCATGTAACCAAATACTACCTGTACCCCCAATAACCTATGAAAAATAAAATAAAATGCATATGGGACATTCAGAGGATATCCATTTTGCCTACACATATGGAACTCTGGAAAGAAGTGGAGTTCAAAACATAAATCTCCTTGGTCTTACATCACTGAAGACCAAGACTACATCACATTCTTAAGAGGGATTTATAAAACCAAAGAAGAAAGAATGAAGGGCAAATTTCTGAAGAGTACAATATCTAAATAAAAGGAGCCTAAGAAAGGCTGTGTCAAGGTTAGGAGTCAAAAGAGGATAGAGCTGTAGGATGAGGAGAGAGTGGCCAGTAACTTTAGAGACAGCTCTGCTGCTCTTTCCTCAGCCCCACACCAAAGGACTACTCCCAAACTCTGTGGAAAAGAGATCCATAATTTAAGAGAAAACACAGATATGCTCATGAATATACTCCAACTGTTATGCCAGTTTCTACTCATGTGTATCAATATACATTGAGGGCACAGGCTTTGACTTCACAGAAACATTAGTCAAAATTTTTGATTCCCTTTCTTCATTGTTAAAATAAAATTAGGCCGACCACGGTGGCTCATGTCTGTAATCGCAGCACTTTGAGAGGCTGAGGCAGGTGGATCACTTGAGGACAGGAGTTCCAGACCAGGCTGGCCAACATGGCAAAACCCTGTCTCTACTAAAAATACAAGAAAATTAGACAGGCATGGTGGCACTCGCCTGTAATCCCAACTACTTGGGAGGCCGAGACAGAAGAATTACTTGAACCTGGGAGATGAAGGTTGCAGTGAGCCAAGATTATACCACTGCACTCCAGCCTGGGTGACAAAGTGAGACTCTGTCTCAAAAAACAAACAAACAAACAAACAAAAGCAAAACAAAAATTATAATGTTATCTACTTCATATGGAGTACATTAAGTCAATATATTTAAAGTGCTTAGCTAAAAGTTGGCACAGATTAAATATCCACAAAATCATTGTTAGTATTTGCATATTACTAATGTTAAATATTTAGTAAAAAAAATTTCACTCTCCTAAAATTGTGTGTGTGTGTGTGTATGTTTGAAAAGTCTTGAATGAAAGAGCTCCTCAAGCCAATACTGAATAAGAGAATTTACTGACTCACTGATGGTCACTTTCTCTTGTTGCATATTTAGGGTCTGCCATTCTGGATCACTACTTCCGAGATGCACAGATAATACTGTAAAATAGAATGAAGAACCTCTAAACCAGAGTTTGTGTTGTGACTGATATTGATGCTCTGCCAAACTTGTTTGAATCTTAACTAAAGTCAGAATTATTAGAAAATGTGTTATGGTTGACCTATTTTTCTTAATTCAGGGTTAACCAGACATTCCTGAACATTTTTAACGAACATTTTCAACGAACATTTTCAGTCACGTTAAATTTGGTAGGCCAAATAAAAATGATCCTTTAAAATTTTCTTATATTGCATTAGGGTTTTCCCCCTTTGTACTAGTGAAAATCATAAGTTGATTTGGAAATGCATTTTTTAGGTGACTGAATTGAACATATAGTCAGTAGAAGATTTGAAGACTGAAACTGCTGATTTCTTAGTGTGTCAATAACATTTTTTTATATCATGAGTACTTCTTAGCTTTGGTCCTTATATTGCCTACCTTCTTCTAAAAAAATACAGAAAAAAAAGATTTTGTCTCATTTCTGAAGTCAAGAGGCAATCTTGCAGAAATAGTTAAGATACCCAAGCAATATAATTGCTAAAATTACTACTACTAAAAATTGCTAAAATTACTACTAAAAATACAAGAAAATTAGACAGGCATGGTGGCACACGCCTGTAATCCCAACTACTTGGGAGGCGGAGGCAGAAGAATTGCTTGAACCTGGGAGATGAAGGTCGCAGTGAGCCAAGATCATGCCACTGCACCCCGCCTATGGAGGATGGGGGAAACTGTTTTTAATTTAGACTTAATGAGAATGGCTGAATGTATTTTATAATATGTACATGGTGACTAAAACCTTCTCTGCCTTTCACAAATTCCCATAGAAGACAGACCACCCCATACTAACTACACAAACACACACATATAAATACATACACCACTCGAGATAGTTACAGTTGCCAGATGAAACGAAGGATACCCAGTTAAATTTCAATTTCAGAAAAACAATGATTAAACTTTTTTAGAATAAGCATATTCCACATATAATTCTTTTCAATGTTTTTCTAAAATTTAACTGATTTGAACTGAGTCTCCTGTATTTTAATTTGCTAAGTCTGGCAAACTTATCAATAGGTGAACATGCTACCTCCATGACAGATATATTTTGAAAGGTAAACATGCGCTGTCCATCTGCTTTCCATTGTTATCAACATCTTTATATCTCAGTATCAAGTAATGGGTAGAATATACAATATTGCTGAATATTCTTTAGAGTCTATCCAATAATTCTACAAATCATTCGTTTATCTCTTGGCATGTGCCTTGGCTGAAACTTAATACTTAACTATATTTTTGTTTATTTCATTTTTATCCAAATTTTAACAGTTATCTATCTGCCTTCTTAGAGCAGTGATTCAAAATCTGAGGTAAGGGCCATCTGATCAAAATTCTGGGTCTAGATTATGGCTTTTCTTGATAATAATAAAGACAAGCTTTACAAAATTGAAATTAAGATTACTAAGGAGCAGAAACATGGTTATATGCAAGAAGCAGTATGTTTTCACAAATCGTTTTTCTCTCTCTTCCACAAGATATGACACAGTATTTTATATATTAATAATATTAAATATTTAATGTCAATCTCATAACATCAAATATTTGTTACCATTGAAGAGTTCTTAGCAAAACTTGAAAAAGTACATCATTTCTTCCAGTAAAAAAATAGAGAAGACAAGAAAGAATACTTTTCCCTGTGAAGTGATCTTACAAGTGTGACGAATGATTTATCTAAAATAAGAATTGTATTTATTATAATTCCAAAAAGAAAAGTTACATTTTAAATTGATTATAACAGTCAAAACTCAACGGAAAAAGGCAGCTTGTAATAGTATTATACCAACTTCATACTCAATGAAATTTTTAGCTTTCTACTCAAACAATATTGTCACCATAAATTTTTCTACAGTAGTTTTATAAATATGTAATTTCAGAAAATCTGAATGTCGTTCCTTTGCTTAAACCATTTTAAAATCACACATAAAGAGTCACACTTACAATACTCATCTACTGCTAGAGTTACTCTTTGAAATGTTGAAAATTTCTCTGGATCTAAAAATACTTGGCTTTATAAGAAAAGTAAAGAGGCACAGAGTAAAACCAATTTTAAGAACAACCACATTATGTATTATTTTGTGTGTCCATTAAGTTTTTTATTGATAGATAATATTTTACATATTTATGGCATACATGTGATATTTGGTCCCATGCACAGAGTGGACAATGATCCAGTCAAAGTATTTGGGGTGTCCATCACCTCGAGTATTTACCATTACTATGTTGAGCCCAGAATGTATTTTGAGTGACCAATGATGTTTAATGATTTTCTATATGTTGTAATATCTTCTGTACATCATTTGGTTTACCTTTTCTTCTCTTTTTTTTTTTTTTTTTTTTTTTTGGTGACGGGGTCTCGCTCTGTCACCCAGGCTGGAGTGCAGTGGCGCCATCTTGGCTCACCGCAACCTCTGCCTCCAGGTTCAAGCGATTTTCCTGCCTCAACTTCCCGAGTAGCTGGGATTACAGGTACCCACCACCACACCCAGCTGATTTTGTATTTTTAGTAGAGTTAGGGTTTCACCATGTTGCCCAGGATAGTCTCAAACTTCTGACCTCAGGTGATCCGCCTACCTTGGTCTCCCAAAGTGCTGGGAATACAGGCGTGAGCCACCGTGCCCAGCCTCTATCAGTTTTTTATCTTGTGCAGTGGGGAGCCCAGGTTCAGTCTATTCTTAAATCCAATACATAACTATAACTTTGGAGAAAATATGTGAGGTGGGTTAATCCCGAAGTTTTTATGAAAAAACGCGATTCCCTGAAACAAAGTCAATCTTCCATGCTATTGGTACAAATGGATCTCTTGTTTCCCTGTCTGGCCCTTGCATCTGCGCACGCTTCTTAGTCATTAAGCACAAGAGTTCTGCAAACAGATTTCTATCTTGGCCTGCCCCTTACTAGTTACTTGACCTTGTGACACTTAACATTGTGCCTCAATTTCCTCACGTAAATGTGGGAAACAAAACCAATACTTAGCCTTTCTCACATAATTACGAGGTTTAGCTCACGTAATCCAGCGTTACTCCAAGTTGAGGTTTCCCGGAAGGGAAAAATTACTTATATTGTTTTTAATGTATCAGCTAATTAAAATGTGAGAATCAAAACCAGTGCAGAGCTTTCCTCACATAAATACGAGGTTCACCTCACGTAATTCACCGTTTCTCAAAGTTGAGGCTTCCTTGAAGGGAAAAACTTACTGACGTTGTTTTTAATATATCAGCTAATTAAAATCATTACAGAATTAGGTTAAAATCCATATGTGAAGGACTCTGGCACTTACGGAATCATTTTCAGAGGATCCGGCAAGATGGCAGAGGTAGAGGAGAAGAAGCAGCGGATCTTCCGCAAGTTCACCTACCGCGGTGTGGACCTGGGCCAGCTGCTGGACATGTCCTTTGAGCAGCTGAGGCAGCTGTACGGCGCGCGCCAGCTGCGGCGGCTGAACCACGGCCTGTGGCGGAATGCTGAGGCTCAAGCCGCATTCGCTGCTGAGGCGCCTATGCTAGGCCAAGAAGGAGGCGCCGACCATAGAGAAGCAGGAAGTGGTGAAGACGCACCTGCGGGATATGATCATCCCTCCCAAGATGGTGGGCAGCAGGGTGGGCGTCTACAACGGCAAGACCTTCAACCAGGTGGAGATCAAGCTGGAGATGATCGGCCACGACCTGGGCGAGTTCTCCATCACCTACAAGCCCGTGAAGCACGGCCGGCCTGGCATTGGGTCCACCCACTCCTCCCGCTTCATCTCCCTCAAGTAGTGGCTCCGCTAATAAAGGCACACATATCTCCAAAAAAAAAAAAAAGACATTTATAAAGTGACTACAAAGAAAACAACTATACCAGTAGTATGCATATCAATAATACTGCTTTTTTTTTTTTCACCGCTGAAGGTGTTGTTTCGTTGAAACCGAATCACCATTTAGAAAGTGATTGTCAAACTGAGTTCAGTTTGCTGATGCAAATTTGAATACACCATGATGACTGTTTCCCCACTGCTCTGTTCTATTCAATCCACTATATAGTGTATGTGTATTTGACTTTTCAATAGCACTACCATGTTACTATGTTTTAAGTCCAATTCTGTTTTTTTATCACTATCCTAACATAAATATAGTAGTAAGTCTCCATGATCATAAACAAAAGCAAGCACAGATGATGAACTGATGAGTAAGACATCATTTCATGCCAGGAAGACAGTAAAATCACGCTATGATGCAACCCCTGCCCTCATTACAAAGCAGTTTTAGATAAAACAGAAAAAGAGAAAACGTGAAAGACAGAGCTGGCCTTAAAAACTGGACAGACATTTTCATGAGCCATAAATATAAGAAGATGAGTAAGACTACATCCTCTGGCCTTCTGGGATTAAAAGCTCCAAAGCAGGCAGTGACAAGAGGTCAGTTTCTCTGGGGCCATTGGGATTAAAAGTACTCCCATATATGGATGTATAGAGCCAGGCCTACTGCTTATTATGGCAAAGATTGGATGCCCAGAACTCTTGATGCTTATTAGAGGAGGCTTAACAAAACAAAAAAACTGCGCTCTCTTGGGCTGCAGATGTTATAAACTTGTGGAATTATGAAAACAGAAAGCCACACTTTCAAAGGTAAGAAATGAATCGAGTTCTGTGCTTGCTTAGTGGCCATCTCTGTTACTTTCCTGTGGGTCAGAGTAGCAAACTTTTACTCTAAAACCCGGTTCTTGAATAAGCACCAGACGGCAAGCTGGAGGTGAACCAACAAACTGATTAATTTTAAAAAGGAAACATAGGCCCGGCTCGGTGGCTCACACCTGTAATCCCAGCACTTTGGGAGGCCGAGGCAGGCACATCACCTGAATGATCTGAGTTCGAGACCAGCCTGACCAACATGGAGAAACCGTGTCTCTACTAAAAATACAAAACTAGCCATGCGTGGTGGCGCATGCCTGTAATCTCAGCTACTCGGGACGCTGAGGCAGGATAATCGCTTGAACCCGGGAGGCAGAGGTTGCAGTGAGGAGAAATCATGTAATTGCACTCCAGCCTGGGCAACAAGAGCGAAACTCCCTCTCAAAAAAAAAAAGGAAACATAAAAACTACAAAGAATCTCCCACACAAAACAAACCTGACAACCCAAGTTCCAAAACGGCTGAAGAAAGGTATGAAAAATAAGGCCGGGCATGGTGGCTCACACCTGTAACCCCAGCAATTTGGGAGGCCGAGGTGGGCGGATCACTTGAGGACAGGAGTTCAAGACCAGCCTGGCCAACATGGTGAAAACCTGTCTCTACAAAAAAATACAAAAATTAGTTGGGCATGGTGGTATGTGCCTGTAGTCTCAGCTACTTGGGAGGCTGAGGCACAAGAGTCACTTGAATCCAGGAAGCAGAGGTTGCAGCAAGTCGAGATCACAGCAGTACACTCCAGTCTGGGCAACAAAGCAAGACTCTGTCAAAAAAAAAAAAAAAGCAAGAGAAAAGAAAGAAAAGAAAAGAAGGAGACTCCAGCTCTACAAAAAATTAGCTGGATGTGATGGTTGTAACTGTAGTCCCAGCTACTTGGGAGGCTAAGGCAAGAGGATGGCTTGAGCCCAGGAGGTCGAGGCTGCAGTGAGCCCTGATTGCTACCACTGCACTCCAGCCTGCACAGGAGGGAGGAAGGAAGAAAGGAAAAGAAGGACAGGAAGGAAGGAAGAAAGGAGGGAATGAAGGAAGGAAGGAAAGAAGGAAGGAAGGTAGGTAGGTGGCTCTCAAAATCACCAACCAGAACTTGAATTCACCCAAGATGAAATGTTCATATGTATAAGATTGTAAAACTCATTAATAATTAACGGTTTACAATGCTCAACTGAAAAAATGACAATCACATCTATTTTTTTTTAATGAAGCAGAGATCAAATACAAGCAAGAAGACAGGAAAGGAACCCATAAGGACTCTTAATAAAGAAATATGTAGTCACTGCAATTACAAAAACAAAAACAAAAAACTTCCCTCAGTAGACAGACCAAACTCAAGACACAATTGCCACCATTGGGAAGACTGACTGAATTTCAAAATGATATTGAGGAATGTACTCAGAACACACCACAGAAACACAAATATGTAAACATAAAAAATTAAAGATACATAAAGTATAAAATACGGAGCTCTGGCATATATTTGATAAGTGTCTCAGAAAAATGAGCTGGAAGTCATATTTGAAAAAATACCTGGTAATAAACTTTTCAGAATCAAGGTAGGACATGGAGATTCTGATTCAGAAGGCACTCTAAGTACTAAACAGGATAGATAAACATATTCCCACCTAAACACATAATAGAGAAACTGTACACATCATGCTAAACTAAAATTTTTAAAATCCAGAGACAAATCGTATTAACTAGCAAAAAATAATAATTAAACCAAAGGAAAATGTCCTTATCAATTGAAAGAAATGCAAGAAGTGCTTTCAAAAGCTAGAGAGAAAATAACTGTCAGCTTAAAATATTATCTCTAGCTAAAATCATTCATGCAAAGATTAAGAGTCCATCGAATAAATTCTTAGTAAAGGAATTATTAAAGCATCAATTTTAATTAAAAGAAAAATGCAACCAGAGGAAAAGCATTAGGTAGAAAGATAATGGTGAATACAGATATTTTTAGAATAGCTAACAACTAATAATACTCAGTAGCTAACAACTTGTATATATGATTTTATGTATATGTATGTGTACATGTCTGTGTATGTGGTGCTTAAGGAAAAATATAAACAATAAATTGTTCAGGAATGATTACCGAATAGTTTACACATACTGAAGTTATTATGTTCAAGAAAAGACAGCAGTATTACCTGGTCATCAAATTATTAAATCAAGATGTATTGTTAAGCATGGATATTAAACTTTAAAGTTAACACTAAAATATAGAATGAGTCTTTTCTAAATCTGCAGAGAGAAAAAAATATGTAAATGAGGGAATATGGAAATCTTTAATTTAAACAAAAGGCAGAAATAGAAAAAACACAGTCAAGAAAAAAATGGCACAAATAGAAAATGCGAAATAAGGTTGTAGACATACACTCAAATGTACCTATAAAGAAAATCAATGTAAACAAACTAAACTCACGAATTAAAAGGCATAATCAGACTGGATACATTTACAAATGTGGGATGATATGTTTCTTCTAAAACATACGCCTCAAACAAAATAGCACAAATTGGAATAAAGGCTTTGGAACCTTTATATCAGGATGTTCATACAATGGTATATAATGGTTAAACAGAATGAACTAGCGCCCCACGTGGCCATTTGATTGGGAGGTGCTCCTTCAGATGATCCCAACCATATAGAGAACTGGGGTTGGAGTCCTAGCATTGTCTATTTTCACCTGTGTGACCTCATAGAAACTATTAACCTCTCTATGCTTCAGTTATGCAAATAAGGGATAAAAATCACACCATGTGGATTAAATGATTTCATTTTTATCAAAGTGTTGAAATGTTTTTGACACATAGCTTTGTGTAAGGATTTATTAAATAAATACACAAGTTTTAAAAAAATGTATTCGAATGAAATACAAAATTAGAAACAGATCTGGAGAGTCACATAGTAATAGCGAATTCAAACATTTCCAAGATTAGCAGATATCAAGTCCTAATATTAGAAAACGCTGATATTTTCATGGTAAAGCTTCAGCGAGGTGCCTGTATTCAGTAAGTGCTTGGCAAATGTCACCTCCAAATACAACAGCAGTCACCAAACTGTCACTCCAATTTCTTCTGCTTTTTCCTTTAACCTAGTTACCCCACATAACATTAAATATGCCTGAGAAACCTTCTAGTCTTTCTAACACATGAACTCATCAATTCCTTCCATTCCTCCCCTCAAAAGTAGCCATCCTAATGAAAACAACATTCTGTGCCACAAGATCCAGTGTCATTTTATGACAGGGCTAATCATTAGTTGATGTTTGCTTATGCTGAAGTAGAATCCATTTCTTTATTACTTCTATCCATTAATAATACCTATGTCCTCTGATCATGCTACATAGAAAACATCTTTTTTCTTCCACGCTAGTTTACAGTCATCTGAGGAAAAAAAAAAAAAAAAGCATGTTTTATTCTTTCTAGTGCTTCTCTTATTGAAGGTGCCCATTCTGTCATTATATAGAATATTTTCCCTCTCCCTATTGGTAGCTTCTCCTCCAGGTACATATTTTAGCCAGGTACTTAACACTACATGCAATGTTTCAGAATGGAGCACTTCTTTACAGTTGTCTACACAGGCGGAGTGGACTGAACAATCTCTTTTCTTATTTAAATACTTTTATTCAATAGCCATTTTTGTTCTAGGTACTCTGTCAGGAATAGAAGATGCAAATGTGATCACAGAATAGACATGGCCCTGCCTCCATAGAGTTCAGTCTAATGGGAGAAGTCAAACAAGCCAGCCAACAACTACAAAGTAGTGTGATCAGGGATAGAATTGGCAAGTAGAGTGTAATGGGAAGACATAAGAGGGACAACTGACTTGATCATGGGGTCTTGAAGGTAAAATCTGAAGGCTCAACCCAAGGGAGTGGGGAGAATTATTTTCCACCTCCTAAGAGAACATGTTGCCTTTGAGAAACTGATAGAGGTTTAGTATGATTGGATTTCATGCTGCAAGCTAAATGGGGGGTAAAGGAGAACACCATGTAAGTAATACAACCCCAATTATGTAGTTCCTATCAAGGTATTTTTCTGAACAACATAACTCTATTAATATGAAGTAATATCAAATACATTATTGGTGACCACATAACACTTCTGGCACTGTTGATTTCGGGTTTACGTCCCACAGAAAGAACTTAATGTTTTTTATTTGCACTTCCACATATGTTAGTTGGAAATGTAGATGGAAAATTATCAATTCCAACTTCCTAGATTTACTCCCATCATTTCTGTCATTCAGGGTATCTTTGGAGCCTGATTTGTCATTATACATATATATATATAAATAAAATACTCACTACTCTCTCCTTAAATTTCCCTTTATATCCACAAAAATATAGTAAATTTTGTTAGTTTCCTTTGAGAAACTGAATTTGAGGAACAGTATATTTGCCCAGTAATCTATCTTGGTCCAGAAATATTTTAAAAGACCTTTATATTGTCCTAAACATAACACAGCCTCCAGCTCCTTATCAACATTAGCCTTTGTGATTCAGTGTTTTGGGAATCTAAAGCTACCTTTCCAAAGACAAACAACTTAATTTCATGCCTCTACTCCAGTGGTGCTCTTTTTTTTTTTTTTTTGAGACAGAGTCTCACTCTGTCGCTCAGGCTGGAGTGCAATGGTACGATGTCAGCTCAATGCCACCTCTGCCTGCTGGGTTCAAGCAATTCTCCTGCCTCAGCCTCCCAATTAGCTGGGATTACAGGCACCCACCACCACACCCAGCTAATTTTGTGTATTTTTAGTAGATACGGGTTTTTGCCATGTTAGCCAGGCTGGTCTCAAACTCCTGACCTCGGGTAATCCACCCGCCTCAGCCTCCCAAAGTGCTGGGATTACAGGCATGAGCCACCGCACCTGGCCCAGTGGTGCTCATTTTTAAAAGCATATTCAGTCTTTCGGTTCAGTTCTGCTTTATACATCCAAGAGAGAAAAATCATTCAGCCTTTTATGGGGAGGCACACTAACCAATATCCTTTAACATATGTTGAGTTAAATACCATCTATATTCAGATACATATTTTAATTTCTTTAATTAGTTTTTTCACTGGAAGATGGCTCATTGTTCTGTTCCCTGTGATGAAGGGGCTTCTGGATGAAGACTTGAGAGACAGAGAAGATGAATTTGTGTTTGAATTTCAAAGGAAAAATCTGGAATGAAAAGCCTATGATTTTAGGTTTATTACTATATGTGCTTTATAGAAGACCAAATGTTTTTCTTTATTCCCTGAAATTTACTGCCTTTTCACACTTAGTAGGATATTGTCTCACCATTTAGTTTTTGAAAATATTGTAATCCTACGTAACTTTGCAATTTATAGTCTCTAGAAAAGAATATTCTCATATATACGTACTCTGTAACAACCTGTTATTAACTGATAAAAGAGAGTATATTCATATTCTTACTTCAAGTAAACCATATATATGAAAACTATATATATATATTTGAAAACTGTATATATATGAGTAGAAAGGTATAATAGCTTTGAATTTTCAAAAGCATTATCCATTAACCCCGTTACCAAGCTTCTCTCATTAATTTAGGTATAATTCAATTTTTAATTGAATACCTTTTAAGAGCATACTTATGACAACACAAGATACACTAAAATAATTCAAAATATTATTAGATCTATGTTAATAAAATAAACTCATAGAGTCATAGAAATGAATGAATTAGGGAAGATTCTCTCATAAAAATAATTTTATATTTTAATGCAAATACAAAGAAAAGAAGTTAATTGAATGTCAGAAAAGTGACCAGTTTCTATCTTAACCTTGAAACTTGTGGGAATGTGGAATGCCAGATTTGTGTCATATATTATAGCTCCTGACAGTGTTATGTGTCTTTACCACAACACCATCTGTGCTGCTGTACCTGAATAGGAACAGGGGCTAGAAATGGAGAAAAATAATGAATTCTTGCAACATATTTTTTTTCCCCTGAGCTCATGCAGCTGGTGATAGATGCTTTCCTTCAACCTGAAAAGCACTGCACAGTTGTCCAATGACATAGTGGTATCTTCAGCATCTTCCTGTTGACTATGCAAATTCTATAAGTGTAAAAATTATAAATCCCAGTTTTGAAAATAAAAAATAAATTGATATCTAAAACACTGATTTCATATATTTGGAGTATTTTATCTTTATTTTTGTAATAACTCTTACAGATGAATATAATAGATCATTGTTTATATGATGATGAAAAATTTTGAAGTAGGATGGTAAACATTGGTTCCATTGGCTGGCTCTGGGGTTGTCGAAGAATCATTTACATTTACATTAATACTCAGTTTGCTGCTTACTATTGTGTGTGAACTGAATCCTTGTTTTTTTTTAATTTTTTTTCTTTGTAGTATGGACCACATACCACTTACTATCCCAGAGTTGCTCTAAACTTAGGAGTTAACGTATGTATACAAAGAGCATAATATATTGTCAGGTTCAGAGTAGGCAATTACTAATTATCTCAGCCATTCTAGAATTAACTTGTCATAATTTGCATCTTCAAGGAAGAATATCCTGTTATTCCTGTGTTAACTTCACCACATCTGCCATATGGCATGTGTGCCCAATGACCTATCAAAGAGGTGAGTGAATAGTTGACATTTTATCTTTAAGAACCACTTATTCATATTTATGGAGAGGAATTAATTCTATTTAACAAATTTTACAATGTCACCTGCTTACTAAATTTCTGTCTTTATACCAAATATCCCCAGAGAAAAATCAATAAATTAGGGATGTAGTCTTTAGTCCTAATATTCACAGGCTTTAGACAAAGATATAAATATGTCATAGAGAGGAGATGAACACTCCCTCTCCAGGTAAATATGCAAGAAGGATGAAAGGAAGTTAGGTGAGTAGGCAGGTGAGTGAGAGAGAAGAAAGGAAAAAGGGAAAGTAGTGATATTATAAACGGGCAGTTTTTAGGTATAAGCCATGACATACATCTGCGTATATATTAAGAGATAACTTAATAAACTTACTTACAGATCATTTTAAAATGTCTGCAATCAAAAGCGTAGAACTTTTTACCCCACTGCAGTTATATATAAAAAATGTAATTCTTGATCAAAGAATTTTAGGCAATAACAAACAAGCAAGGAGATAATTTTTGCACCAGCTGACAGTAACCTCTTGTCAGTATCACCAGGAGCATCAGACTATGTCCATCCACCAATGTCCACTTCTCATCGTTACCTGGAGGCTTATTGTGTCCTCTCAAGCTGACTTTTGTCTCCTTCCTCTCAAACTGTCCCTTCATCCTTCTATTTTATCAATGAGCACAAAATTAGGACACTCTAATCACTCACTTTCCTGTTATTATAACCCCTCCTCTCCAATTCCCTTAGCTTCAGAAGCACTGATTTATATCTTCAGTCAGGTAACATTTTTACCTAGTAATCTGTCATTCTATGCCACAACTTATACTTCTCTGTTTCCCGAAACACGACCCTATATCTCTTTGTTTTAATGCAAGATAGTAAGAATCTGACATACAAAGCACCAAGGCACATATTCTTTTTAATAAAATCTGGAGAATTTGCAAAAATCTCATAAACATAAATGGTCTTATGAATATTCCAAAGAGATTGAGTTACCCAAGGTCAACAGATAAACTTAATAATGAAATTATGAAGCCTAGTGTATACTACACCATGTACGTGATGATAGAAGAAATAACAGCTATCAGTATGTTATCTGCCTACTATGTGCTTAGAAATGTAGTAGAAACTTTACATGCATTATTTCTATCATGGATAACAACTATAAAACTTGTGGGCATTAATACAGTAATTTTATAGAAAAAGAAACAGATTCAGTTTTAGAGAATTTCCCTGAGGTCATTCAGATAGTAAGTGGAAAAACCATCATTTGAACAATGATTTGTGTGATAAGAAACCTACTTTATAAAAACCTTTAGGCAAAAATATATTACAAGTATGCAAGGCTGGCTGGGTGCGGTGGCTCATGCCTGTAATCCCAGCACTTTGGGAGGCCAAGGTGGGCAAATCAGCTGAGGTCAGGGGTTCAAGACCAGCCTGGCCAACATGGTGAAACGCTGTCTCTACTAAAAATACAAAAACTAGCCAGGCATGGTGGCGCATGCCTGTAATCCCAACTAAGTAGGAGATTGAGGCATGAGAATCACTTGAACCTGGGAGGCGGATGTTGCAGTGAGACGAGATGGTGCCACTGCACTCCAGCCTGGGCCACAGAGGGCGACTCCATCACAAAAAACAAAAAATATATATGTATACACACACACACACACAAACGTATATTATATACATTCACATATGTATATATAATATACATATATGTATATTTATGTATGTATATAATGTATATATACACATATATACACACACACAAGGCTATAATTGCTGATGTAATGATCTAATAAACAAGAAAATACCAACACACCAATAAATGTAATTATGTTAATTTTTCTTTTTTTTTTTTTGAGACGGAGTCTGGCTCTGTCGCCCAGGCTGGAGTGCAGTGGCGCAATCTCGGCTCACTGCAAGCTCCGCCTCCCGGGTTCAGGCCATTCTCCTGCCTCAGCCTCCCTCCCGAGTAGCTGGGGCTACAGGCGCCTGCAACCACGCCCAGCTAATTTTTTGTGTTTTCAGTAGAGACGGGGTTTCACCGTGTTAGCCAGGACGGTCTCGATCTCCTGACTCGTGATCTGCCCGCCTCGGCCTCCCGAAGTGCTGGGATTACAGGCGTGAGCCACCGCGCCCGGCCAATTTTTCTTAAATTAAAGAAAATAATCATAGAAGACAGAGATTTCTTGATAATCTTTCCAATTAAAATTTAAAAAGTCAATTGTTATCTTTCAGGTTTTAAATGAAAGATTTTTTCGCATGATTATATATCAAAGCTTCTTTAGAAACATTACAATTAATTCTCTTAAATTCATAATGGGATGTTGTTCCTATGATGTAGTTCTATGTTATGTACACATAGGTCAGATGTAGCAAAAAGCACTTCAGAGTTTCTTTAAAAGCCAAGAATTAAACTGTTAATAAGGGTTTTGATTGAGGCTATTACATACGTATGTATACATATATATTTAAAAATTGAATGTGAATTTTTATGTTAGGTGCTTATTATGTATTAGCAAGAGAACACACTTACATGCAGTGATTTTCATAGGCAAACCTTCCTGGACTAGTCAGATTTCAGCTTAGTTAAATCTTTGCCTCCCCTTGACTGTGAATCCCACCAGCTCTTGCTGGAAAATAGTATTAGACTGTATAGGTATATGTACTTGATGTAACTTATTTCCTTGTAAAAAGCAGTTATTGCACATCTGAAATTGCTACATTTCCTCTCTAATATTACTGTCATTTTATGGTGTGCTGTATAATTAAGTTTACTGCAATAGAGAGGCATTTGATAGAGTTTCCATTTCCTCCCTATGGCTTATTTTTACTCCATATGATACATTAACAGGCTGAAAAATATAATTTTAAATTCCAGCTATTTTTAGTGAATCTTTTTTTCCACTCTGGAAATTTATTATTGTTTAATAGTTGATGTTAAGGTGTATAGAGCTTTCATATTATGTTAACCTAGATATTGCAATGTAGATATTCGCTCTTCCTAGTTTTTAAAGTTTAAAAAGTGAAGAAATGTAAACAAATAATTTAGAAAAATTCAACCAGGAAAAGAAAACCATAAGAAAAAATATATAGAATGCCAGGTAAAAATCATAACCATTATAGATTTTGATAATATTAAACACATAGAGAAACTATGTAATACCTTGCAAAGGATGTAGGGGAAAAAAGGAAGCTATTCAGATTAAAAAATTAGAATAAAGGAGAATGAACTTGACATAATACTATAGCATTTTAGGACCAAACCATGCCCTGTTTTACTTTTTGGCTTTACCTATATACTTTAATTTTATTGTTTGCTTTTTGTTTGGTTTTACTGTTCTTACCTGATTTGAAATTTGATTTTAGATAAAGTCTGTGGTCATCGTAAGCTTAATCTCCTTCAGGTATCTTTTGCAATATGTTTTTCTGTCTTCTTTATTAATTAAAGAGAACCCATTAATATTTGAAGGGCTTGTGGTAGAATTGTGTGCTGTGCTCTTTAGTTAGATTTCGTGGGATTTGGGGCATGGTAATGTATGTAGATATCCTGTGCTTCTACTGCTTTATTGCAGCTTCCTGTAATAGCCTGAAGAGCCTGCCCACCAAATTCCAATGGACAAACTTAATCACCTCCTGATATGGATAACAAAACTATACGTTAGTGACTTACCCAAGGTTAAAGTCACAGTCAAGATCATCGTAGAATCTTGAAACTATCTTTCTTGACTTTATGTGCAAAAATACTATTCCATTGCTGCTGCTTATAGTAATCCTCTACATGTAACACCAGGAATATCTAAATATCTAGAAAATTAATTGATTAATAATTTCTCTCATTTGAGAGAAAGAGAAACAATAGTACACCCAACACACATTTTCTGTCTCTCCTTCCAAATTGCTTTTTTTCTATGTGTCTAAATGCTTTACTTTCCTACTTGAAATCTGAAGGAAGAATATGAGTGATTATCCATTCAAGGTCTGAGAGAATGGCCCAAAGTTTCTAATGCAAAGCTTCCTTAAAGTCTCTTATTTTGTCTTTTTTTTCTCAAAAAAATGCAAAATTTCTACTTGACTCCAAAAAGTAATGCTGATTATTTTATTTGAAAAAAAGCATTTTCTTTCTGATGTAAAATAATGGATTGAGATAATAAGTGAACCATGACTTTGCCATCAAGAGAAGTAATGATACATTTTTAAGAGTTGCATAAGTCCATGAGTCGCAATAACTTGTTTTAGAATCTTACCATCATAAAGCCATAAACGAGGCTTTTAAAAAAAGAAATTGGGAAAAGTTTGTAAATTTATACCAATAAATTTAACAATCTAAATCAAATGAGCGAAATTAAGTCAACAGATGTATAAGAATATAAGTTACCAAATTAACTTAGAGAAAATTTGGGTACATTTCAAACATGGTACGAGAGGCAGATATTATTAAAGGTGAGAATTTTTAAAATCCATGTTATTAAGCTGGAACATTAAATTTTAGAAAAACTGCATGTTCATTTTAGAGAAATAAGTTCAAACACAATTCATCTTGATATGGTCTGGCTCTGGGTCACCACCCAAGTCTAACCTTGAACTGTAATCCAAATTGTAATCCCCATGTCTTGGGGGAAGGACTTTGTGGGAGGTGATTAGGTCATGGGGGTGGTTCCCCCCATGCTGTTCTTATGATAATGAGAGTCTCATGAGATCTGATGGTTTTATAAACGTCTCACATTTCCCCTGCTGGCACTTCTTTCTCCTGCCACCATGTGAAGAAGGACATGCTTTCTTCCCCTGCTGCCAGGACTGTAAGTTTCCTGAGGTCTCCCCAGCTATGCAAAAATGTGAGTCAATTAAACCTCTTTTGTTTATTAATTACCCATTCTCAGGTAGTTCTTTACAGCAGCATGAGAACGAACTGATACACATCTGAACACACAAGCACTCCTATGAAAATATAAACTAGATTCAAGTGTCAGTAGGTTGTATAGCCCAAAATATTAAATTAACAAGGTACAAAATAGAGTTTATTCCAGAAATTTAGAGATGAGGCAACACTTGAAGCTTTATTAATAGAATTCACTCTACTAAGAGTTAAAAGAAGAAGAAAAACAACCTTAAATCATCTCACTAGATGCAGAAAAAGCAGATAAATATTCAAAATCTATTCTTCATTGTTTCACATTTATAAGATTAAAGAAATATTTCTTAACTTGTTAAATGTCACCTATTGGAAGTCTACAGCAAATATACAGAATTATCAAACTCTAAGGGCATGTCTATTAAAATTATCATCAATACAAGGGCATTTCCTATATTCAAAATTACTTTATATAGCCCTTTACCACATATTAAAACTTCAAGAATAATTAAAATTATAAATACGAGAAAGAAAAAATAGTAATTATTAGCTAACAACATTAATATCTACCTAAATTTGAGAGAATGAGATTAAAAGAAAATATTACTAAATGTCAGAATATTTTCTAGGTAAAAATCAATGTAGGCAAGGTTATATGTAAAAGAATATTTATTATATTATTCACTGTGTTAAGGATTGAACAAAATGCTCCATATGGAAACAGTTAAATCGTTTTATATAACATTGCATAGAATATATTTCAGATACAGATAATAAATCCATAGGTACAAACATGAACATTTGTTCATATATTTGTATCTACATATATATGGGGAGGTGGCTATATATGCATATACTATATATTTTTTATATGCAGGGAGAGAGAGAGTATAATAACAGTATTTATTTAAAAATTTAAATCAGCAATTTAGCTGGGAAAATGAAAACTAATTTAAAGAGATAACCAACAAAATATGAGTCAAGTTGACCCCTGAGAAGTACTGTTAGGGCATAGAGATTTTTTTTATTTATAGTTTATCCCTTCTGGTATTTGTCGATTTTTTTTTTCTTTATTGAGTATATTTTACATATTTAAGAAAATATATAATAAGCATGTCTTAGGTTCCTTGCCTTGTATATGTTCTCATGTCCTCTTTAAGTAAAATGAGTTTTGTAGGCTGTAGTGCGCCATGGTGATCCTACTAATTTATTTTGTATGGCACTCAGCAAGGTACAACCCCAAAGTGAATTTCAAAGTTTCTTAGGCTTTTTGAATATGACCCTTTTTTTGTTGAAGCCCCTACATAGATACTAGGCTGGTGGAATGTATGGCTAAGGCACAAAGAGTGAGCATTTTTCTATTGACTGCCAGAGAGTCAAATGTTGTTACTATTTATTCCCGTCTGAAGAATAACTCATTTTTACCTACTAAGTAGCCCAACTTTGTTAGTGCAATCTACGATCTGTTTTTCCTTCTCATAATTCTCATTTATGTCAAAGCTGCTTCTGCACCCATCTTGTTGTCCTGTCTCTGGCTTGACTTACATATTTTGAGGCAGTCCCCACCCATTTCCTATTTTCATGTTCTAGATGAATAAGGCCCCATTCTCCTGAATTTCTTCCCCATCTTAGTTTTGCTCTAATCCTAATGAACTCAATCACGTAATTCCTGAGTTGCCATGCTTAGCCTCACGTTCCATTGAAATTAATCCAATCAGGCCATGGGAAAGCCCTCCTAGGTAACACCCTGGACCCCAAGAAATGGTTTGGCCCACAGGTCCCTCTCTTTCTCTCTTGCCCCACACCTGCTGGTTAAACATGCAATCCTGGGGAACCCCCACTTCCCATTGGCCCTGTGAGGCATACTGTCCTCTTCTTTTTGAAATCTGTGAACAATAAACTTCATTTTTTCAGCAATCCAGTGTGAGTGTCCCTCACTATACCATATCTGACTACACCCAACCAAACTTATATACCTCACTTAAACAATTATGTCACTTTCAACTTTTCTATTTCAAAGTAGTATTTAAGGCCAGGCACCGCGGCTTTGTAATCCCTGCACTGTGGGAGGCCAAGGCAGGCAGATCACTTGAGGTCAGGAGTTCGAGACCAGCCTGGCCAACATGGCGAAACCCTGTCTCTACTAAAAATACAAAAAAATTAGCTGGGTGTGGTGGCGCATGCCTTTAGTCCCAGCAACTCGGGAGGCTGAGGCAGGAGAATTGCTTGAACCCCGGAGGCAGAGGTTGCAGTGAGCCAAGATCGCGCCACTGCACTCCAGCCTGGGCAACAGAGGGAGACTCCATCTCAAAAACAAAACAAAACAAAACCAAACCCAAGTAACATTTAAGCTCCTTCTTAATACTTCCCATTCATTAAACATATGATATCTGTTAATTCCTCTCATAATTTATGCATTATCTTATTTCTTCTTTCTATATTCTTCCTTTTTTTTTCTATTTGTAATTCTACTCAATGTTCAAGGCATATCTCAAGTGAAACCATGCTGTCTGAAGGCTTCTAAATCCTTCTTAACCTAGCAAAAATGACACTCGGTTTATTGACCATCTTGGTAATTTGTTTAAACTGGTGAAGCACTTAAAATATTAGATTATAGCCGGGAACGGAGGCTCATGCCTGTAATCCCAGCACTTTGGGAGGCCAAGGCAGGCAGATCACCTGAGGCTGGGAGTTCGAGACCAGTCTGACCAACATGGAGAAACCCCGTCTCTACTAAAAAAAATAAAAAACATAAAAAATTAGCCAGGCGTGGTGGCACATGCCTGTAATCCCAGCTACTCAGGAGGCTGAGGCAGGAGAATCACTTGAACCCAGGAGGCAAACGTTGCCATGAGCAGAGATTGCACCATTACACTCCAGCCTGGGCAACAAGAGTGAAACTCCGTCTCAAAAAAAAAAAAAAAATAGATTACATTACATTTCATTAAATAAGTATTTGCCTCTTTCTCAAAGGGTGAACCTAATTTTACTGTTGACTCCTCTTGGCCCCTAGTCAGAGCCTCACTCATAGTAGGAGCTAACCTGCAATTTTGCAATATATAAATGTATCAATGCTTAAACATATAGTTCATGGTATACATACTTACATTTCCTGGTAATGTCAAATACTGATATAAGGGAGCAAATTTATCACCTACTCAAGAATTATTACCTACAATTAAATGCAGGTCAAATGATCACATTTACTAGTATCACATAATTGGTAACACTATAATGAACTTCAACAGCATAGCATTTAGTATGATGCTAATATGAACTCTCGTTCTTCATGTAAATAAATCTCAGTTATCTAGCCTTTCATCTACACCTTCCTCAGTTTTCTCCTAATCTTTTTTATATTGTTATAGTAGCCAAATTGTCACTAATGCACTTTACTGAAACAGGGGGGACTTACTTTCCTAACAAGACAGCCATTGCTTTCATAAAGGTACACTTTTTAAAATAAAACAAGAAAGAAAAAGTAACCATTCCCTTCTCATTTTTATGAATACACTGTTGTCTCATTAGGTATGTACTATCATATTTCTTTAAATAATTTAGGGACTAACAAGAGAACATCTGTGTAACAAAACACTACGACGTTAAATTTAAATTCTTATAAATGAGTTAAAGCAACACACTAACTACCATCAATATCATGGGATTAGTCAATTATGAAAATAATCATCCTCATTTAACAATGTTAAATGGAGATATTCCAAGGATGTTGTCCAAGGTCACTGTGAATCACAAGTGAAATTTATAGTCTGCTTTCTAGAATCAATTTTGTTGCTAATTGATTAATTTAGCTGGGTAATACAGTAATGACCTGGTTTTAGATTTAACTTTCTAAATATGTGGAAATAAATTCTTATATGTCTTTTGAAATACTTCTCAAATACTTCATTATTGTTGATCTTCAGTATTCTCCCCAACATGTAAGTTATCTGAGTTTAGGGAACATATTTGCCATATTCATTGCTGAATCTTCAGCCCCAGGATTAACGCCTGGATGCAGTAGGTGCTTAATAAATATCCTTTAATAATCAAATCGATCTTGAAGCAAAAAGCAGGATTAAGCAGCTGCTTCTGTATCACTGACTATTCATTTTTTTAATTCCCTGAAAAACATGTATTGAACATGTGTGGAGGAAAGCGCTTGTTACTATGGGGTACGTAAACTATGAATTGAAATGTATGCTTTGTCCCTGGGAGTTTACAACATGGTAGGTGAACTAATGAATAAATATAATAAGTTATACATACATTATGAAAAGTAAAAATAAGTACTGAGGGCATAAAAAAGAATAGTAAACAAAGAAATCAAGGTTGGTTATGGAAGACCAGGTAAATGAGTGTGTCAGTGGCGATAAAAAGGAAGAATTGTGCAGCCAAGAATTCCAAAGAAGCAAAATCAACATGACATATTTCCAGACTGAATGTACAAGGTGTGGGGGAGAAGAGGAACACACAAAGATAATTACGGTTTTAAGAAAAAAGGTGGAGTGAAAAAAGAAATGCATAAGAAGAAGTTGTTTTGAATACACATGAAAAATAATGGATTTGAGGTATTGTGTTAGGCCTATTTTCTAGGATTCCGTTTCAGTTAAGTGCATTAATAACTATTTGGCTTCATAACAATAAAAAAGATTAAATTAGATTTTAGGCTTTACTTTTTAATTTTAGACAAAAGTAGAAAAGAGATAACTAATCAATTCAGGACCTGTTATTCTGATGTACTACAAGACCCAAAATAAATATTTTTGGAAAATTGCTTAAATATTATCATTTGAAATGTTTTTACTGAATTTGCTAAGAATGCAATAAGAAATTGGACAAAGGTTCTTGGTCAATTACTTTGGACTATACTGTTTCTAAGATACACAAAATAAAATGCCAATATAGGGGCTGTTTTTTCTTTTCGATTTCAACTAAGAGACACGTTCCTGCCTGTGTAATACTATGTTTGAAATCTTACTTTAAGACAATTTTACATTCTCTGCAAAGATCCTATTGTTCAAATTATATTTAAAATTGTCTCTGAGTCCTTTATTACTTATTTTTAGACACATATAAAAAAGAAAGCAATATATTCATAAAGCACTGTTTGAATTCACAGTAAATATAATTGTGTGACTATCTGAATTAGTTTTTAATCTTGTGGGTTTTTCCTTACATGTGAAACTATTGGTAAGACCATCTCCCACTGTTAATTATGCTTCTTTTGATGATTAAAGGTGATTGAGTGGACATGGGCATCATAATCAAGCCTGGAAGAAAAATGTTACTTTAATTTTTTGCTAGTGACTTGCTCAGTGAGCTATGAAGACTTGTTGAACTCTTACCATGTCCCTTAAGGCTGGTGCTAGAGATAATGATATTATGCATGCATATTGTTGACATTTGCTTTCAAATTACTCTACGATTTTTAAGAACAAAATGTACTAGAAAGCTAGGAAATCAAAGATAATTTGATTTTTTGAAATATGTAAGATGTAATTTTTAGAATATATTTTATGCCATAAAACATGGAAATTACGGAATGTGCATGTCTTGACTTCACTGAAATAAACAACTAGAAATGTAGAGTAGGCTAAGAGGCTTTGGCTTGTTTTCTTTCTAGCAGACTTTTTAAATGTATACTGCCTGTTACATTTCTCTATTTTATGTTCATTAAAATATAAATTTTCCATATAAATTAAAAGAAAAAGTAAGAATTTAACATATACTTTTATGATTTTAGTTTGTCCTCCTATAATTTAGACAACATCCTCCACACTGTCATCTCAGCGGATGACTTGAAAAGACGACTTCAGTAAAATCCCCTTGCAATGGGTTAGTCATCCATTCATTTCATTTTTGAGCACCTGTGGCCCTGTCAGTCACTGGCATATAGAGACAATGGTCATTTGATAATGGGAACCTGTGATCTGGATCTTTACAATCAGAAGAAATTTTACCAAGTTGAGAACACATTGCAAGTAGATGGCATCATTTGTCTGGAGACAGAGAAGGGGGAAAAGAAAACCCAGCCTATTGAGAAATAGCAATTGAGTTGTATTGCCTTATAGTTTGTAAGATGTAATTTAGTAGAAGATGAATTAGCAAAGGTAAAATTGCTCACATCTTAACCAGTGTTTCAAAAAATATATACCTGTATAGGTATGCTTACTTATGTGACAGTTATCTTTCACAAGAGAAATACTATTTATTTGTTTTCTGGGGTACAAATGTTTTAAAATGTCTGACCCTTTGAAAACAACTTTTTAAAGTTTCTAACGTCTATCTTTTGGTGTTTGTAAACAATAGCTTGGGAAAATTAAGAGAAAGAATTGAAACTTTAAAATGTGAAAATGTTGATTATTGCAAATTAACTCAATAAAGAAACTCATAAATACATTTTTGGGTTGCTGCCACTGCTGAATGGTCTATTTTTGTGTTTTTATTAATACTGTTGACTAGCTACAACAGGTGACATTTATATCCCCTTAGGCTGTCCATTAGCCAAATGAAGGGCCATCTGGAAACGGATTCTGTTCTTTGAAAAATGTGACAGGGCTGATGGCTTTTTAACTGCTAGTCATCGATGATTGCTGGTAAACACTGGAAATTAGTGTTGATCCCTCAGAATTAAGAAGTTAGTCAAGTACTTAGAGATGAAGCAAGAGAAACACCTTTCAACCAGATGCCCACACCAATTCAGGTTTAAAAAAAAAAGAAAAACACAAAACCCACCTTATGTTTTCTATTATAAAAGGCATACATCCACAGTAGTGAAAAAGTAAGACAGTTATTCTTGGTAACTGTAATTTGATGGATATAAACAGTTTTGTGGGATATACCTTGAAAAATTTAAACTTGAAGAGGTACCTGCTACTAAGGAGGAAAAAGGTATATTCATTATGATACAATTTGTTGGCAATTTCCCTGAAGTGCTGTTTTATAATTTTGGCACTCAGATGAACAGAAGGAGAGAGTTTTGATGGCTCTCTCAACAGCAGCTCACTGAGAGTCTTTTCATAATCCCAATTTAAAGGGTCTCTAATAGCACCACGTTGGAAGGACCTTACTGGCCATTTCCACTGAGTGCCTTCATTATTCAGATGAAGATTCTGTATCTGAGAGGTTTGGGTAACTTCACCATTTACAGCTATTTAGTGGCCGCAATGAAGATTTCTCTTAAAGGAGGACACTAGAGAGATTTCTAAAGGAGAAGGCTAGTTTCTGCAATGGTTCAATCTATAGTCTACAATGATTCTCCCATTTGTTCCTGAAGCAGAGGCCAGAAGAATTGAGGGGTGTGTGTGTGTGTGTGTGTGTGTGTGTGTGTGTGTGGAGTTACCCAGAGGGTTAAATGAATTCATAGAGATTCTAACATTCTGTGTAGCTTAAACAAAGTAAGTAATGAATCTTAAGCATAATGTAACTTTTTCTTATCTTAAATTTTAAATACAACTTCATTCAAACATATTACTTCATAGCTGCTTTATCATAATGCACTTTCATAATAAGAGTAGGGCTACTATTGTGTTGAAGTACAAGAATTATTTTTCCTTAAAGAACATTTATACTAAATCTAAGAACCATTTAATGGTCTTTCTTCTTGAAAAATCGGTCCTATCCTGTCATTGCACCAAGAATTTGACACTTATTTAAAATTGTTTAATTTAATCACATCTACATTAGTCCTGTCCCTAACTCAGAAATAAAAAGAAAGTAAGTAAAAAGAGGAAAACAGGTAAAATTTTCTGCAGAGTTTGGCAATGAGAAGGATGGTGAGCAAAACTAGAATTGCACAACTAGCATTAGTGGTGTTTGAACATTTACAATGCAAGTTCAAGTTCAGTTCCTCTATGGTGGTTCAGACTGGTCTCTTCTAACAGCAGATTGGAAACCATCTCTCTTTCTAAATCCTTTCAAAGGAGTCTCTTGAAGGGATCAGGACAAAAGTCTTTAGAGCATCCTCTGGAGCCCTGTGCAATCTACTCATTTTCTATCTCATATCTCACTATATTCTGCCTTTTCTCTATATTATTTAGTCTTTCAGGGACCCCTGATACAGCATGTTTATATATGAAGTTCCTCGACCTGGAGTGTTTTTTTTTCTTTTTTTATTTACCCAATAAATTCAATCAAACTACAGCAGAACAGTTTTGTTCTCATAAAAATATTTTCTAATCTTCCTAAGTGCATCAAACTATTCCTAATACAAACTTTCATGAAATCATGTGGCTCTTGTTAACAGTTCTTATCGCAGTCATGATTTTACAGTTATCTATAAAATGATTTGATTTTGATTTTTGTTCTCTTTCAACTAGAATCTAAGCTCCCTGAACACAGAGACCATGCTGGTTTCTGTCCATTAGTGTTAATGCAGAGCTAGATGACTGGATGATCTAATTTTATCCTCAAACCTATCTTCATGTAGCTATTCTATATTCTTATTTTATAAATTAGGAAACAAAAGAGTTAGAAAGTATGGATTGTACATGGTCACAAAATAGATGTCCCTGACCTTGAACTTGTATTTAAATCAATTTATGCCAGGACCTTTATTTCTTCACATATACCCTGTAGATATACTCAATCACTTAACTTATCCTGCTACTTCAAACAAAGGTCTCATTATGTTAAGTTCATTATTTACATTTTCTGTGCTCCTTTCCAGTAAGTGTTAAATAATTAGAAGACATCGGCCGGGCGCGGTGGCTCACGCCTGTAATCCCAGCACTTTGGGAGGCCGAGGCGGGCGGATCACGAGGTCAGGAGATCGAGACCATCCTGGCTAACACGGTGAAACCCCGTCTCTACTAAAAACACAAAAAATTAGCCGGGCGAGGTGGCGGGCGCCTGTAGTCCCAGCTACTCGGGAGGCTGAGGCAGGAGAATGGCGTGAACCCGGGAGGCGGAGCTTGCAGTGAGCCGAGATCCCGCCACTGCACTCCAGCCTGGGCGACAGCGAGACTCCGTCTCAAAAAAAAAAAAAGAAAAAGAAGACATCATTTAAGGTTTTAAAAATTAAAGCATTTCACTCTTACCCACAGAAGATAATGGTAAAGATTATTTTGATCATTTTTTCATTGTTCCTATTTGTATAACCATTGCAAAGTATTATTCAAACAGAACAGAAGTTACTGCCAGCATCTGGATATAGGTTTATAGGTTTTTGAATAATTTATTCAAAATTTAACTTTAAACACTCTCTTCAGTGATTGTCAGTTTAAAAAGTAATTACCTGTAATTTTGCCATGTTTTTGCAGCATGAAAAACGTTTTTCCTAGCATCCTAACTTTTGTTTTATGTCTACCTCTGGACGGATAGACTAGACAAGACTAGACACATTATACCAGTGTGCTCTGAAAGCAGTCTTATTGATGTTGAAGCTTTTTAAGGAGTTCAAAAAAATGAAAGTAATGGGCTTTGTCATGCCACCAGAAACAAAGTGGTTTTAGTTCTTAAAGAACTGCTTAGAACAACATGGCAAGCAGTACAATCAAATTATTTTGTCTGCTTGTCTAACATGAAGGCAACGCTATCAACTGACATCCTGCAGCTCTGAGATAAGACTCTGGAGAAAGGCCTGGGAAAACCATGTTTATCTTACAGGAGACAATGATTAGGTAATTTGGACATTTCATATTTAATAAAAACTATTTAAATCAGAAACCATCAGACCTGCACTGATGGGACTTACATTTATATTGTACCCTCTGTCTGCCTCCAAAAAGGGATTGAATCCTTTTCATTTTTAAGAAGTACTCTTTAAAATGAAGGAAGCGTGTTAAATGCTTGGAATTACTTTTAAATTAAACCATACAGCTGACATGAATAAAAGGGGACCTCCAAAAATGCTCCGTTAATGATAGGGAGAGCAACCAGCTAGCACAACACTTGACTTGTTTTTCCATAGTAGGTTTGATCTGCACTGCAATGAAAATATTGAAAATGATTTCTGGGCCTCACTGATATCACAAATCATAACTTGCATAAAGCCATAGGCGTAATCAAAGATCCATTTGCGCAGTGATTCATATGTGCGTGTGCCCATACAGGAAATGCTCACTGCTTTATAATCAGGTCTGCAAACAGTTTTCATTCATCTCCCATTTTATTAAAGCTGTGGAAAGGACGAAAAGATGGGATCAAATGTAAAAAAGAATGAGGTTAGAAAGCAAGGCAAGCTCACTTTTTAAAATAAAAAATGTACTTGCTATATATACTCAATTTTCAGGTGAACTGTATGTCATAAAGTAATCATAGAAATGGCTTTTTTCCCCAGAAAAAGGCCTTTTTGAATTTTCAAACCAAAATGTAAAATCTGCAACTTTGAACTCCTATGCTGAATAAATCATAATAATTAAGATCTCATTCTTCAAGAAATCACATTATACAGGTGAATAGAAGCCAAGCAAAACTGTTTTTACTCTTACTAATGAGATAGATTTACTGCACCTCTGATTTAGTTATACATTGGGATGGTGTGTGTGTGTGAGTGTGTAAATATCTGAACTCCAAGACATGCATAAAAATAAAACAGAATCAGTTTCTCTGGGTAAGAAAGACATTTGCCCAATATCATCTCAGCTTTATAGCTTTATGCAAAACAGTACTTCAAGTAGCTTTATGCAAAAGAGTACTGCAAGTTTATTAACGATTTTAGCTTCATTTTAGGAGTGTCCCACAAGAATTCTCTGGCATAACGTTCTAACTGAATGTATGAGAGCAATTACTGCTGGCCCTTAGGCAGGAAAACACACTCACACAAAATGAGGCTTTATCCTTTGACATAATTATGTGTTGGTCCAGATTTTGTTTGTTTTAGAACTGGAATTTTGTTAAATTATATTTTTATTACTTTTTGATCATTGTATCTTTTCTGTTCGACTGAGAAGAAATATCTAAAGTAGGAGGGTCAATCAGAATTACGAAATCATTGAAAACTAGAATCCTTTTAATAATAAAAACTACACAAAATGACTTATTTTTATATATGTCATATATAAATGAATATATACATGTAACATATATTGACTAGGAAAACAGTAATAGGAAAGAAAAGAAGAGAATAGGTGAGAAGAGAAAGCTGTGGATAACTAGTGGTATTTTTTTAACTCCTGCAAATATAGATATAATGATCAACCTTAAATGTTTTGACAGCTTAGCTTTTATTTTCATTGCAGTTTTCACTCCCTATTGAGAAATTCACAACTATAGTGTCAGATTCCATTGGCCCATATGTGCTGCAACTTTTAGGTTTCCCTTAAATGCAAGTAGAATTACTTATAGTACCGTACTGCAAAACAGTGCTTAACAATAAAATACAAGCATCCAAACGATGAATTAAAATAAGGGCCTGAAGAATGAAGATGCCATGGTAAAAACATATTTGTGGTACATATAATTAAGTCCTCTGAAAATCATTATCATAATTATAAAGTAGAACAAACATAGTTTAAACCTTGTCAATTGCTAATACAATAATAAGAGAGTAGGTTATGGATAGAGAAAAGCTAAGAAGTGTATAAGAGTACCATTTCTCTTATCTTTCACCCAAGGGAATCATAAATCTTGTCTAGTGTTATAAACTATACCTAAACATTACTTAATTATCTTAATATTTCTATAATATAGTTAATCTGATAATGATTTTTTAGGAACTAAAGAATTTGTCAATTACTTTGACACTCTAAAACATTTTGTATTTATAAATATGAAAGAAATTCCAAAGGTCTTTTAACTCTTCAAAGATTAAGAGTTTCCAGGAAATTTTCCAAAAATTTCATGGGTTTTCTTTATCCTTTTCTTGTCAGAAAAGGACATTGGTGCCACCATTTTAGAAGCCAATTTGGCAACATTTATGACAATATAAAATTTTGTCCCAGTAATTCCAGTGCAAACCCCATGAATACACTGGTGAAGTGTCACCTAATTTTATATAAAACTATACTAATGGCAACATTATTTGATGGAAAAATATCTGAGTAAGACTGAAATGCTCAAATATACAGAAGTGGTTAAATAAATTGTGCTACATCTACATGAAGATTTATATAATTTTGTATTCAAAATTTGTATGCCCTGATATGGAATGCCTTAAGAGATAGATATCTAAGGAAGGAAAAATTCAGGTACTGAACAGTACATAAAGTTTAATCTGTTTTCTGTAATTAAAATGTGTGTATATTCGAGAAGACAGAGAGAGAGAGAGAAAAGATAATAAGGGTTATAACTTTTTGCCTTGAGGAGACCACAATGAAATTTAACAGTTAACTTTGAAGGGCTAGGAAATAGCAGATAGATGTTCTTTTTATTTTAACACTTTCTTTCTTTGTAAAATGTAATGTACATACAGAAAAAGTATATAACAAATACAAGGTTTAACAAATGCTATAAAACAAATAACTCATCACCCAAATAAAAATAAAGTGAAAAATACTACTAACTCAGAAGGTTCCATCTCACTTTTCTTGACTTAAATTTCTATTTCCCTGCTAGAAGTAATTATTAACCAAGCTTTTAAAATAATTCATTTACTTTTCTTTACAATGTTATCAGTTGTGAAATGTATTACCTTGCCTTGCTTCTTTGATTTACTATGATGTTTGTGAGATTAATCCATATTGTTTGTAGAAAGATATTGTTTACCCATTGTAATGGCTATTGATTCACATGTGAATATTGGACAGTTTATTTATCCTTTCTAACACAGAGGAATACTTTTGTTGTTTCAAGTTTGGGGGTAAAACTTTAACAAAGCTGCCTAAAGTATATTTGTACACAAACATACTCATGCATTTCTTCAGTCTAGGGTATATCTTTAGGTGTGTAGGTGTTAAGATATACATTATTTATAACTCAAATAACTTAATTTTTTTCCAGTTTACACTCTCACCAACAATACATGAAAGTTCCCATTGATCCACATCCTCAGCAACTTAGCATTATCTGACTTTCCCTCCGCCTCTTCCTCCCTCACCCTTTTCCTTCACTCCACTTCCTCTCTGTCCTTTCTTCTTCCCTCCCTCTTTCTCTCCCTTTCTCCCTCCCTCTCTTCCTCCTTCCTTCCTATCAAACAAGTAAACAAAGCAAATCAATAAAATAAACTAAAAACAATCAATCAAATAAATCTGCAATGCCACCTAAGTCAAATACTAAGTGTCTCTATATGTTTGGATGTGCTTCTGTACATGCATAATTTTTCTGTTAGACTATCTTTGTTTCAATTATACTAATTATTCAAACTTTATAAGAATTCTGTTATCTGACAGATCAACTCCTTCAAATTTGTTGTGCTTCCAGTAGTCTTAACTTCTTAAGTTAAATACTCAAAGTTAAAAAAAATGAAGTTAATAGTTAAAAAAATCTTTTCTTGTTTCTTGAAATTTCCATAAAAAATTGAGAATCAGCTTCTCAAGATGCTTTTACATTTCTTTTGATATATTTCTAAAATGTTGTCATCTTATTTTAAATTTTGTTTTGTTTCAATTATAATCAGAAAATTATCTGGGTTTATGAGTCAGTTTGTTGTTATTTTCTCTCCTATTCTTTTTAATATTAAAAATTTTATATGCCTTATAGGTGATATCTGGAATAACTTTTACATTTTGATTAGAAAGCAACCCTTAATTTTGATTATAAAATACCCCTGAATTCTAATTGCAATTCTACCATTTAACAAACTAAGCAATCACTCACTAAATTAAAAATTAAGTATGCTATGGCTATGTGTGTTTTTCTTCCTCTTCCTTTGAGGATGTATTATCTCTCTCGCCAAATCCACAAATACTGTACTGTAATGGCTTAGATTCTTCATTATTTCTGTTGAACTCAAATCTCTTCCCTCTAGATGCTCTAATTTCTTTACTGTTCCCATTAATTTGATCTTAAAAACATCAATATCTTATTATAGTTTGCTTACTGTTTCCAGTTTCCTCAATGGATGGAGCCATACTATAATAATTTTTTAACAATGTCATTTTGCTTAATAAATTATGGTCAACATTTTTCATATCTATATCCATGTAGCTGCCCAATTCTTTTTGACAATCACCAAATTAGTTCTAAAGTACAGCTATACCATAATGTGTACAGGTATTTTGATCTCAGTCTTGGAAACTCTTTACAGTTTCAAAATTCATATTGTATACTAACAGCCAACAGTCTTCTAGACATCAATTCTTATTATCAATAACCCCAGTGTGCCCTGCCATTGTTCCATATTTAACTTTATTTACAATATGCAACTTGGCAATTTTTTTCACATTTTTTCTTTCTTTTTGTAGGGGAGTATTGTGCTTGGGATACACACACACACACACACACACACACACACACACACAAACACAAAGTACACTATATATATATATATGTATATATACAATGGTAACGTTAAAAAGACTACATTAATACACCTGAAATATTATCTTTCTTTCCTTTAATTTAGGATGCCAAATATACGCTCCCTCAAGGAAATAAGGGTTTGCAACTATTAATTTCAGCTTCTATAACTAAAACAAAAAGATTTCCAAAAATATATTCATATTGTTAATTTCATGTAGTTACTGTCTTTCTCTCTCTCTTTTCTCCTTCTCTTCCTCTTTCTCTTTCTGATTCTCATCTGTCTTTTTCTTGAGCAGTATGTTAATTGGAAGTGGGCATGCATAAAAATATGGCAAGTAAGACATTTTTATGCCACAATGCTTTAAAGGTTAAATAAATCCTCTAGTAAGCTTGCTTCATGTATTTAACTCAGCCTTTCTTTCATGAAAAAGTTGATGAAATGCTATGTGGCAGAGAAATTCAAAACCCAAGTAAGATTATTTTTTTCATTGTCTCTTCTCATATTTAAAAACTACAAAAGATATCGTTACTTGAGCTTTCTAAATATGTTCAGAATATAATTGTTTCTCATGCTAGTCAAGCTTCCACTGCTGTTGAAAAGAAAAAAAAGAGTCTACTGCAGCTTAGATATAACTCTGACAGTCTTTGCTAGTTAAAATTGAAACTCACAGAGCATGACCTGTCATTTCTCTCTCTCTACCATGAATCTTTGCTATTACTAATTTACCACAAGCAATATAGTGACCTTAGGGCTGATTAATTAGCTGTTGGTTTATGTATTTTACAACTTTAATTGTGAAAGCATTCACTGTTATTTCACGGTTAGATTAACCTTGTTACTGTGAAAAACTAGAGAAAGAGAAGCCTTGTTAGATTGTTTCTATGACATTTTGAGAGGGTTTTAACTCACTAAATGAAACACAGGACTTCTATATTGTTTTTGAAAGCCTAGTACACTATTCATATTAGCAAATATTGGCCTATCTTTTCCTGGTCACTTCACGATTCCTGTTGCTTCTCTAACCAGTACCAGGCAGTTTTCCTTTGCTTATACCACAACTTTTCTTCATATTGATTGTATTTTTTAAAATTTGCTACCCTAAGTTTTAAAGTAGGAATTTAGTCCCCATACAAATTCAAGCTTTAGAAAAGACTATGTTCATAGTTTGTCTTAACCTGTTCTCAGAGGAGCTCCTACATGTTTTGAGAATAAAACAGTCAAAACAGAGTAAGCAAGTCAATTTTATATAATCTCTATTTCTATTTTGAAATAACAGCCAATTATTTCAATAGCTAAATAATTTCCTACTGGCTAAACATCTTGGAAAACTTGAATAACCTCAAGCCACAAAAATGTCTATTTATTATTTGTTAACTTTTATTTTTTATTAATTTATTTTTAATTGAGAAAAATAATTGTGTGTATTTATGGGGTAAAATGTGATGTTTCAATCTATTTATACATTGTAGGAAGATTCAATTAAGCTAAATAACATATTCATCACCTCACCAACTTATCTTTTTTTTGGTGAGGGTGGGAAAAATTCTTTTAGCAATTTTGAAATATGCAAATACATTAGTATTAACTGTGGTCACCATACAGAAATAAATGGCTATATATTTAAAAATGCCTTTCTCATTTGGGGTGCTAGTGCTTACAAAAGAAAATTATACCTCCAAAATAACTTAAACTGATTAAGATGTAACTGGAGTACAAAAAGAAAATGACTCAAGAATAATTTGCTTAATTCCCTTCTCAACTTGTTCTGGGGTTTTTAGAGCTCATTTATTATTCTTACCTATGATACTAAAAAGTTTTTTTTTAGAAAAGTCAAATACTGAATTACTCATAACAGACATAAAAGAAAGTGGTATTTTCTATCAAGAAGAAAAAAACATATTGCATAAGATCATCTACCAAGACACTTGTGATTAATGTTATACTAGCCTATAAGAGCACACAAATAGAATACATTTTCTTAGAGGTCTAATTAAAAGGATGTAAAAATATTCTTGGGTCAAAATTAACATTTAAGATTTTAATGAGATTTTTCACTCAATAAATACGTGTTGATTGATCAAGGCTTCTTTTTCTTTTTAGACTTAAAAAGAAAGTCAAGATTGATCTTGTCGTTTGTTTTGCAGCCCTCATATTGCTTCCTTTTACTTTGATTTCTATCCGTAACCTGACTAGCAGTACAAGAAAGTAACATGAGACCTCTGTGTAGTTGAATGAAGATGCTGTGTCCATATTTTATGAGAGAAGGAAGATGCCAGGATAGTGGCTGGTACCATTTCCATCACTGTACTTTAAATCACGTAAGGTAATATAAGTGGGTATTTGCGCATGTGTCCACTTTTACGTATGGAATGTATTTGTATCTATCTATACGGGGTGTGTGTGTGTGTGTGTGTGTGTGTGTGTGTGTGTGTGTGTGTGTGTGTGTAGTCTCTGGAAGCAAGTTCCATTCTCCATGGTCCTTGATAGGAGCTATTTTGTATCCAAAATTTTTTATGCTCTTATATTTAACTAAGCCTAACATTTTGTAATATTCTTTTCATGCAGTTTTTAAAATTTTCTTTCTGATCCTGATTGTGAAAAGGAGTGTCTTTCATCTTGTCACCTGACCTCTCTCTTCTCCACTAATAACCATCTTTAAAAAGACCCCATCTGCACTCCCATGTTCAATGCAGCACTATATGCAATATCCAAGATTTGGAGTAATCTAAATGTCTATCAATGGATGAATGGATAAGGAAAATGTGGTACATAAACACAATGGAATATTATGCAGCCATAAAAAAGAATGAAATCTGTCATGTGCAACAACATGGTTGGAACCCCAGAGCGTCTTAATTTCCAATCTTTTTTCCCTCCTGTCCTAGTCTCATTCTTATAAAAGAAAAGAAATGGGATTGCAGATTCTCTGCATTAGGCTAATCATTTTAACCTAAGTGATCACTTTGATTTAGCCTAAAAACTCAATTTTCTAAAATTTGCATAGTTTCTAACTACAAATGATCAATACACTGTGCTTTTATTTTTCCTTATTCACCAAACATTTATTTGCCTTAATAAACACAGTAAAGGAACTTAGTGCAGAAATATGAAAACATGTAATAATGAGAAGATGCCGTTTGTATCTTAAATGAATATAGGCCATACCTCCTGAGTTTGTAAAAGATGTGTAACATCAGCGAAGATGGTTTTTGAAGAGCTCCCTCCTTTCCTGGTAACCTATGTTTCATATTTGCTGAGAAGGCCAGTTGAGAAAATTATGTATAGCTAATTGGACTAATGCAGATACAAATTATTTATAATTCAACATAATTGAGTTTTTTTCTGTTTTTTGAAGACTATTCATTTCACTGAAATTAATGTTCAAAAAGCAATATTTGCAGTTATAAAAATGGTGTCCAAAGTCTAATGAACAATCATTTTCTTTTGGAAAGTTTTACAATACTGAAATGTTTAACTGTGTAGTGTGGGATTATTTTCATCCTTCTGTTCTTATTTTGCTTGCAGAAAAAAAATGTTGTGCCTGTCATATGACTTGGAAAACTTGAAGAATTTGATACTGTATATAAAAGTTTATAACCTAAAGATACAGCCTTCATGTTCAAGTTTGAATCAATAGGGAGATTTTAAAGAATAAAGTAGTGTCATTTAGATTAATTCCAACCTTCCTAACTTTCTGCGTATATTTCTGCAAAGGTCAGCTCTTGCAAGAAAATAATTAGATAAAGGTGAAACTTGCTAGCATCAATAACATAAACCAAACTTTCTCAAGCCAGAATTAGCTAAAACTGGAACCAAGAAAACAAAATTATAACACAGTTTTTAATAATAGAAAGTGTTACTTGACCTCAGTCTCTGATGTTCATTAAAAAGAAAAATATGAATTACTCCTGTTTACCATATAAATTTTTGGTATACAGGAAATTGTTATCATCTCCGAGGAATTAATAAAAATATTTTAATATTCAAAGCATTTTAACACTTTGTCAATTCTGAGCTTCTAGGCTGAATTGCGTTTGTTACCACATCATGGTAAGGGGCTCATCACATTAGTGAGGATTTCCATTATTTACAGACCTGTGTACCAGATTCTGACCATCTCAAAGCCTCAATCATGAGAACTTTCCTCCTACCTTCCTAAGGATTTATCAACTTATATTTTTGAATCGTCTTGTCAGAATAGATGCTAAAAGGAAGGCCTGACAGTGTACAAGTTTTATGGGCTTTCAATTATTCAGCTGTCTGTCATCGTATGTGGAGTCTGGACAACCCAGATCAGATGAAATGCAATAATAAGTACCAGTAAGTAAGCCCAACCTCATGAGAGGCATAAAAAGGAAAAGAATGTTAGGACCATACTTCCTGGTAACAGAAAACCCACACTAATTTATAATCCTAGGATATAGTGTTTTCAAATGGAATCGCTGTATTGAGATCTGCAGTACAAATTCTACTAATTGCATTTGCACACCTGCTCTATCCTTGCAACTGTGGGTTTTGAAGCCTGGGGATATTTCTAGCAATCTTGCCATTAATTACACTTCAAAATTATCTGATTGCATAGCACAATGTTTGGAATAACACATGAAGCAGGGCTTTGGTATGTCATGTTTTTGTGGAGGAAAGGAGTCCTTTTTTCTTCTCAATGCACTCACCTCCTCATGCTACTGTATTTCTGCCTCTTCTCTCTTTTCTTCACAAGTTCAATTGCTTCTACCAAGACGCTAATGTCATAATTTCTCAAGGCTCTATCCCAATGCATTTCTTCTTTTCATTCTATACTCGTCTCCTAAGAATTTCACCTGCACTCATGTCATTATCATCAATATACATCTTCCTAGAGCTTTAGATTCATATACCCTACTAGCTACTTGAAGCCTTGTTTAAATGTTATAATTGTGTCACAAGTCCAGTGTTTCTAAAGTGGAACCCGACTGAGCCTATAGATTCCAAAAGATCTTTAATAAATACTGTTTTTCTTTTCTCCTGGAATTCTCTTTCCACTCATCTTCCCCTAGTTAATTCGTAAATATTCTTTAATCATATAGGTTTCTTGATCTTCTTAACAAGAGAAAATTATTTTAAACTCTCCCTGGACTCTGAACCTTTTCTTTATATTCTTTATTAAAATTCTAATTGAAATCAAATAATCGCACAATAAAAATGTAACAACGATCTCTATCACTTGGGTGTCAATGCCAAGAGGACTAAAACCATGTTTATAAAGTCTCATGATTGCATTGCTGGTATCCAGGATACTGCCAGACCAGAGGTAGATGTTTGAAATATCTGTTAATTAAATGAGAATGAAGGAATGACAGAGCTACTGCTGAAGATCCACCAAAGAGAAAGAAAAAGCTTAACTTGAATATCACTTTAGCTGAAAGATTTGAGCAAAGTGAAAATTGAGTGTTCTACCAAACAAAATTTCATTTTGGCTTATCACATTGCCAAATTCCTTAGGAAATTTAAAGGAGACATCAAATTAGCCACTTCTTGGGAGTATGGAATGACTCGAAAATGAATAATTTCACCTGAATAGTGGCTAAGCTGTCAGAGAAAAGTAAATTTGATAACATTATTTTGTATTCAAATTATGTGTTTATTTGTTTTGAGACAGGGCCTCGCTCTGCTGCTCAAGCTGGCGTGCAGTGGCACCTCACAGCTTACTGAAGCCTCAACCTCTCTGACTCAAGTGATGCTCCCACCTCAGTCTCTGGACTAGCTGAGACTACAAGTGTGTGCCACTACGCCTGACTAATTCTTTTATTTTTTGGTAGAGAGGTGGGTCTCATTCTGTTGCCCAGGCTCGTCTTGAGCTCCTAGGCTCAAGCATTCCTCCTGCCTCAGCCTCTCAAAGTTCTGGATTACAGGCAGGAGCCATTGCACCAGCCTTGTTATCAAACTTTTGTGATACAAATATGAAGACATTATTTATTATAAAAGGTAACATGGCTGGTGAAAATTAACATGGAAGCACATGTATAATAGTTTTAACTGCCTAACAGCAATAATCCAGTAGTTATGAATGCTGTAATTCAATCAAGAAACATGCACTTTTGGGGTTTCTACCTCAGAAAAAGACTAGATGCTCTGGGCATAGTGGTTTATAATGTGTCCTCAGCATACCTCCTGCATGGACTACCAATGGATTTAAGGTTTGTGGCAAATCCCTTGAGCACTGTCTTAGTCCATTGAGACTGCTGTAACAAAATGTACTATAAAATGAGTATCTTATTAACACCAGACATGTTTTGCTTACAGCTCTAGAAACTGGGAAGTCTAAGATCAAGGCACTAGCATATTCTGTGTCTGGTGAGGGCATGCTTGCTCATAAATGGTGCTTTCTTGCTGTGTCCTCTTCTGGCAGAAGAGGTGAAGGATTTCCTTTGGGTCTCTTTTTCACAGGGACACTATGCCATTCATGTGGGCTCTGCCCTGATAACCTAACCAAGCCCCAATAACCTCATCTAATAACATCACCTTGGAAGTTAGAATTTCAATATATTAATTTGGGGTGGGGGTTGGACAAAAGCATCCAGAACTTAGCAAATATGTAACATTCTTAGTCTGAAAGTAATTGCAATGGTAGTTCATAGCTCAGTGATTCTACAGTCCTCATTAACTCTTCCATTAAGAAATATAAATATTATATTTGCAAGACTCATCAAAATATTTTCCTGAACTGACCACATATCCCACAATTTGTTTAATTCTACTTTTAGATATTCTACTACTTATCATATCACATGACCTGACTTTTCATTAACAGAATATGGTCATTTTACATGAAACTGCATTCAAGAAAGAAAGTAAAACACAAAGCTTTTGAAAATAAACATCTGTATAAGTTTGATACTTAACAAAAGTAATGACTATTTGTCCCTTAATTAGAAGGTAGTTCGGTTTTAGTATGCCTTTGAATGACAATATTTGACTCGATATATCAGAATGTTAGGCATTCTGTGGAGACATATTAGGGTTCGCATGTCAGAAGCGTGTTGCTATAATATAAATATAATTCTAAAGAAGAGACAATATTGAAATAGAATCAGAATCAAATAAATAGAGATTATTTAATGTGACCTTATTAGAATTTATTCACCAACAAATAATGCTTGGTCTCCAAACCAAGTATTTTTACATACTTATAAGGATTTTTCTGTTATTTATTTTGTTCCTAGCTAATCATTTTGTTGCAGAGTTCTAGGTAATTTTTTGGCTGTGAGCAATTTATGGCCATTTTGAACAAAGGTACAGGTGAGAGAAGGTGGAAAGAATAAGCTTCCCTTATCTATGAAACAGAATCAGTATGCAAAAGGATATTTGATGAACCTGAAGATATCTGGCTACAGCATGCACAGTGGTGACATAACCTACAAAAGGCCAGTGGATAAGGATCCCAGACAAAATCTACAGCAAGGAGTTTCTTCTTGTTCTTTTTATTAAGGTCTGTTGTTATTACCAAAAGTTATCAGGGAAGGATATTTTGGCATTTTGGTTAATAACTTCTTTGTGACTCTGTCTCTCAGTCCTATGGAGCTAGAGCAAATGAAATTGGTAGTGTTTGGCTGGCTATATTTTATGAAAAGCTACTTCCCATCTTTCTGTCTCACTTGTAAAAGTATAAGAAAATGAACAAAGCCCTTATAAGCCAGGATATATTTCAGAATACTTAAAAAAAGACAAACAACAAGAGGGAGCTTTGTGAAGTTTTAAAAAAAACTCTTGAATTTCATTCTAACAATCGTAAATACAGCAAGTAGTATCACAGAGAAAAATGAAATGACTCTCTAGATAATACTATGACTATTAACACTACCCATTTTAATGAGAAAATAAATTACTATTTGTTTAAAACAAAAACAGAAAAAATGTTTGTCTTTATATTGTCACATACTATAAATTATAGGATTCTTAACATGTTATTAACACCAGAAGTCTAAAGAACTTTGGGATTAACTAAACAGGCATTTTAACTTTTGGCTCTACCACTCTCTAAATGTAAGATATTGGGTAAATTATTTACTTTTTTGTTAAAATCATTTGTAAAATAAGATTAATAATAGTGCCCAACAGTGTTACTATGAGAATTAGGTGAGGTAATTTAACATAAACTACTAATAACAATGCCTAGCAAATATATTTTTAAAAAACTCAAATAGGATTTATTTTTACTGTTCATATTAATATTACTGGGAGGATTCTGGGACAATAGTGGAATCCGGATCTCCTGAATCTCTATTTAAAAGAAGACAAAGCTACTAATGGAAAATCCAAAACACACAGACAACATTTACAAATATACTAAGCCGTGAACTACAAGTGATAGAAAAACCGCAAGACAATCTGCATAACATCAAACAGTGCTAAAGAAAGCAGAGGAAAACAACGTGGTGTCAGAGGGACTTGAGAAGGGGAGAAACCAGAAATAGGCAGTATTTTTCACTGGTACTCGCCGTGAGCTAATTTGAAAACTCAGGGTGTAAAAAGTCTTTGGTAAATTCTGCAATTCATGAGCCAGGGCTTCTTTCCAGGAGAGTGAGGGCAAACATCTGGTAGAACTATCAAAATTCAATAGGATAGGGACAATAAATAGGCTGGAAAGAGAAGGTAGATAGAAGTGGGGACCGGCAAAGAGCCAGAAAAATCTCCAAAAGCAAGTTACCAAATTTTTGAACCTCTCACAAAAACAGAAGAGGGAACGCTGTGAAGTAAGAAGGCTAAACTAATTTATACCCTCTAAAACCTCAAGAAGACTAATTTTAATTAAAAATGAGCTTCTGAAAAGTATCGAGGTCACACTCAATGTGGAATAATTACAAAGAAGAAAGAGAATGTTGAGTAGAAAAGCATCCATCTAGGACATGTAATAACCAGAAAAAAATGCCCATAACATAGATTACAACTCAAACCTACTTCACAATGAGCTAAAGCCTTGAAAAACTGTTATGAAGTATTAAATAACTACATAAGTAATAACTAGGAAACCTCAGATATGTTATGGCAGGATTCCAGAGAGAATTCCAGACACAAGAAAAAGCTCAATTCAGAAATAAAACAAAACCAGAGGACAGAAACAAACTGAAAAAAAAAAAAAGACATAAAATATCTTCAAAGAAGTAGAAATTGAAAAGGAGAAAAAGTGTAAAAATTAAAATGTAATTAATAAACAGATAAAAATTATTTGAGAAAAATGACAAATGTTAAAAATAGATTAAAAATTTTCAACACATACGTAAAAGAATCTTTGAATAAAACCAAAGCCAGAAGCCAGCAAACAGACTGCATACTAAAAAGTCTAATTCAAAAAAAAATTATTGAAAGCTAAAAAATAAGTAAAAGCAGATATAAAAGGGCACATTACATACCTTTTCATTTTGTTTATAACAATCAACCCTGCCATATATTCTGGTAAAATCAGTAAACTTTAAAATAAAGATAAATTATACAAAGCGAAAACTTTAGTGGCTCTAGGCAAAAATAGCAAATGAAAATTAGACTATCGTAAGACTTTTGACAGGAACATTTTATGACAGAAGAAAATGGAGCAATATGTTTAAAATACTGTGGGGTGAAAATGTGAAAAAATATTTTATATTCAGAAAAATTCGCTTTTGATCATAAAGGGCACAGATAACTGTTGACAACATGCAAGAACGCAGGCAACTGGTTTCATCACTGTGTCCTTAGGAATTTACTAGAGAATGAGCTTCAGACAACAATGGTGACTGGAAAGACACCAGCAGAAAGACTAGTAGTGAGCATTAAATATAGAATCATATGTAGCGCAAAAACTAAATGGAAAGTTTAAATTGAGTGAGTAAGATATGTAATGGGTATATGCTATAATGATGTAGACATGAGAAAAGATTGTGTACAAAAATATAAATCATTTTCAATTATCTTATTGGTGTTAATATTTGTATTGTAGTGTCAATATTCTAAGCATATATTATGAGTAATGTAAGATAAAGCAGATCAAATGGTTGCTTTCTTCAACAGATAAAAAGGAGTAAAAGAGGATGGAGGTGAAAACTGTGTAATTAAAAACATTCCAGTTTTAAAAATTAAACAAGACTAAATATTAGCATCCAGAGATGTATTCTTAGATAATAAATTATCAAATGCAAGGAAGTAATTACCATAAAAGTCAGAATAGTACTTGCTTTTGTTAACAGACAAAATAAGGGGCTTCTGGGGTGGCTGGCAAAGTTCTATTTCTTGACCTAGGTATTTGCTTTATGATAATTCATTAAGCAACATAAAAATTAGTATTTCTATAACTGTTTCTGTTTTGTAAAAATTAAATGCAAATAAAGATAAGTTAACACCTGAAACTTACAGTTTTATAACATGGATTATTATATTAATTTTTAATTACTGGTTATGTCCAAAGAAATATATTATAATTGAAAAGAAAATATCTTAAACATAGTGATTGTCCAAGTAAGGAAATACTACCTAGGGGTAAACTTTTTTCCTTTTCTTTAGAACTTGAACCAAAACTGGAAAATTACTGTTTCCTCTTGCATTTATTTACCACACTGCCATTTATCTTATTGTTCAATGGAGTTGGCATGAACCACAAGCTTCTGTTATTACAATGATCTGAAGTAAGACTGAAGAACTAAAAATTTCATGAATGTCAGCTTAAAAGGTTTATGAGATGCTGTCTTGATGATAGCAGGTCATTTCTGAATCCTCAAGATTAGTGCATTATCTTTGTATTAGATTATTTGGTTGAGTACCACCTAAATCCCTTGGATGACTGCCAATTGTTCATTACATTTTCTGTAACGTAGGGCTGACCTACCAAGTTAATTCTCAGAGTTGAGATTATTTTTCTATTTTATATTATTTTTGGCTTCTACTTTCTAATAAAAGAAGAAATGCATTTAATGGCCAAAATGGGTAATATCCATGTTTACATTTTTAATTATCTTAAGGGTGAACACATTCTTGAATTTTCTGTAGGACAAGCAATGACTTTACTTAGTCACTAATTCCTTCTTTCAGTTCATTATTTGTTTCAACTCTAATTTCATCCATTTGAAGATATCTTTTCTTCATAAGAAGATAGCTGCAAAATAGCTTCATGATTCAGATAATTTCAAAGAATAAGCTCTTTTAAAATATCGATTATATTTTTCAATGCTAATAAAAAGTCACATTATTAGTGAAAATAATTTTAAAAAAATTTCTAAAATAAGGCCAAACCTATAGTGCATGTATTTGTCTAGTCTATGTTCATGTTTATATTCATCAACAGAGCACCACAGGGGTTTAAAGTCCTTGGTATTGTTGGTCATCAAGGATAGAAATGAAAGTTGTTTTTTTTCTCTCTGCCTCCCTGGCAAATAGAAGTCTTAACCGTGCAGAAGTGGCTGTTATAAAATCCTAGGTGGGAGGAGGGGGAGGTTTGTTCTCTATTGTAGTATTTCTAGTCTGTGTTTAGAAAGTACATTGTAAGAAAAAAATGTAAGCTCTCCCCACCCTAGGCCTTGCTCATTCCTTTAAGATGCTCTGTTCTTCAATATGATAGATTGAAGTATCTGCTCGGGAAGGGCAGCTGTGTTCCATCATGTAAGACTGATGCTCTTGGAATTTATAGTGAAAACTCATGCATCATGATTTATTGCGTAACTTACATGAATTTATTATTCATCAATACAAATCACACATGTACCTCTTAAGTGACCCTCATTATGTGGGGCCTCCCTCATTTTAGAATCCCATTTATCTCTTTTCCGTAGCCAAGTTGCCATCTAGTCAGTTTATTGATGGCGATTGTTATTTTTACATGAAACCCAATTGAAACTTAGCAGAAGCCAGTTGTCTTACATGTCTTCAATTAAATTTAAAATTAGATATCACTCACATGTGAGAGATTTAAAAACTGCTACAGCTGCCTTTAAATGGTTAAATAATGAAAGCAAAGTCTCAGTGGTAGGGAGCAGTCAGATTGTTTCCGTATGCATAATTGGAAATGCTAAAATGGAAGGGTGAACTGTCTTTTGTAAACTTAATATTTTCCCTTTCCTTATTAATAATTCAAGAGCATGTGTCACTTTAGACATATATGACATATTACAGATGTTAACATAATCCAGAGTCGTGTAATTACCCACACAGAAGTCAATGCCAGACCCTACCACAGAGCCTTGGTCACTATGCGTAATAACATAATAAATGCTGGTTAAATGCATAATAGTCAATGGAACATGGAAATATTTTTCTCAAGAAAAGAAGACTCTGTTTTGTAAGATTAAAATGAAACTATATTTGTGAATAGTTTACATTGGATAAAAAATACTCTGATTATTAGATTCTTACCTCTTACCGACTGAAAAAATATGGCATGGGGGATTTTGATATGTAAGTAGTATTGTATAATACTTAGGTCATTGGCTTTGGAATTCGACAGAATCTGTGTAAAACAACTGTCATCTATTATCATCTATTACCTGTCAACCTTAATCTCTCTATGTCTCAGTTTCTTAATCTATATTATGGACACAATATCTACATGGTGAAGTTTTGGCTAAGGGTTAAAATGATAGTATATGCATAACTACTTAGTTTATGGGAGGGAAACTTTTTAGCTGAAAAACCTGCTCCTAGGAGATTTGCTTATTTTTAAGCAAGAACTACTGGTGTTATGGTCTAGAGGGGATCTTGACATTAAAGCAAAAGGTATTTATTCCTCTTAAAAGCTTAGCAATTCGTACACAATTGAAATAACTGCATATTCCAGGTGTAATATATACAATGTCTTCTAAAATGAAGTTATAGTAATCAAATTTTCCTTTATTATTAAAGTTGCAAAGATTATTTGAAGTGGAATATTCCAGTATAAGTGAACACTTAAAGAAAATGTTTGTATGTCATAAGCATAAAGGTAAGTTGGGTTATATTTATGAAAAGATTGAGTGTAATTTTTTGCATTAGAATGTATTAATATAGATCCCATTCCAATGTATCAATGTACATTCCATGACAGACACAGTATCTCTGTCCTCGAGCTTTTTCTCTAAAACCTGTAATGCTATTCTTGGGCGATCAATTTCTTTTTTAAAAATTTTTATTTTATTATTTTTGAGTTGAGGTCTTGCTATGTTGCCCAGGCTGGTCTTGAACTCCTGGGCTGAAGCAATGCTCCAGTTTCAACCTCCCAAATTGCTGGAATTACAGATGTGAGTCATCACCCTTGGGCTGTTTCTTTTAAGTTGACTTCATATGTTTTCAGTGCATTGTTTTTCTTCCTTGAATTTGTTATACTTACATTCAAATAATTTAGGTTCATCTCACAAATTCACTCACTTTCTTAAAAGCACTGACAGAGGTATCTACTCTTGACTTTTCCATTTGATTAATAGAAAATAATCACTGTCTCACTCTCTCTGGTGCAGTTTGGTTAACTGATATAGGCAGCACAAATAATTCCTACAGTAGTGTACTTATTGTTTTAAGAATTATGTGAAAATTAGTCTCTTACTACATGATTAGATTTTTAGATTGGGTAATGAACAAAAATAGTCTTTCTGTGCCATCTTTTAATGTGTTTTTAATCACCAGCTAAATAACAAAGAATTGTCTTTTAAAATAATTAAGACTACATATCGAGTCTCCATAGGATGTCAACAATAAAGGGGTTAATGAAGCATCCGATCATCATGGAAACAATAAAAAAATGTCTTGCTTTAAACAACCCAAAGCAATTTCCACAATCTAAATGCATCTGTGCTAGAATAATTTCCATAGCATCAGAACATTTTTCATCCTGCAGAGATTACAAGACAAAAAAGAGGGAAGCTTACAAATGATGGCAACGTCCTATGTAAGTGGAGCCAAATATTTAAATGAAAAATCTGTCAAAAAAGCGAAGCTATTAGAGTTTTACAAACCATGCTAAACATCATGGCATGACCTCAGTCATGGCACAATTTAGAACCACGAAAGAATGCTGCAAAGAGAGATTTCCATTTACACATTGTACATAGCTTCTCAGAATATTAATAAAACCTTTGTTATATGTTAAAGCAACACAAGGTTTTTCTCCTTTTATAATCCAAGAGCAATTCAAGGCCCAAACCAAATTCCAATTTGCTGCATCTTTGTAAACATCTCCCATAGATATGTGTGGAAATAATATATACCCTAAATCAAATTGAATGAGTTTTTATTTAAGTAGTCTGAAGATAAAAATTACAAGAAAAATATTTTGACAGTACATAGACTTTTCTGTGGATTTACATTAACTTGTTAGTATATTTCATTCATGCACAAGTTATGATACAAACACACAGTTTTTGGAAGCTGGATTCAATTTGGTATTATATTATTGAGCATGTTAAAAAACCAACTGCCTTAGGTACTGGGCTCAGAGATATCGAAATTAAAACAAACTCATTTGCTTTTTAACTCTAATGTATTTCCTAGCAAATTGTATTGGCAAGAGAAAGCTCAATATTTAAATGATAAATTAATAAATGTACAAAGAATCTCCCTAATCTTAAGTTTTCCTATCTATTAAATGGGAAATATAATACATATGCTGTAATATGAGTTAATCCAAGTGTTATACATACTTTCTATTTTATATATAATATCTATTATATAGTATATGTATATATATTGCAAATAGAAATTATGACAGGCATACATAATATATGTTCATTAAGTGATACTTAAAGAACCATTAAATGGTAGTAAAGCCTTCACTAAAGAAGACAATACAATAAATATATTAAATGGTTACTTAAAAGAGGATTTTTTCAGCTCCATGGGCAACAAGTAATATACAGTACTAGCCCTCCATATTATCTTGAAGCATAAATTTACATTTTTCTATTGGGTACCATTTAGATGAAGAAAATAGGTCAAATAGCAATGTCCAAATGTAATTTTTTGTCTTTTTTGATTGTATATACTTGTGTACTTGTAGACACTTCCTTTAATAATTTCTAAAAAGCTTTTTCTTGATATTTGAATAAGAGTTGGTATAATTTCTACTTATGATCAGGAGGGGACTAGATAACAATTAAACATGGAAACTGAAGTCATTTCTACTTAATGTCACTATAATCAACATGGAAAACCAATTTGCAGTCCCAGATGATTGTTTTTCCCTGATAAGTGAGTTGTTTTGGCTAAGTATACTGAATAAATGTTCAGCTTCATAGACTTGGTGCCAGTCAGCTTGCCTTTATACTGGGAATGGATTCCAGATTTCATACAAAGACCATTTCCATAGAGCCAAGAGTGAAACAAAGAGGGGCCGTTTCCTGGTAAATTGTTGAAGAAACCAATTGTTACAAAACTATTGTTAACAATGTAGAAATGTGCAGCAAGCACACATAGCTTAAATACATAATTTCATTTTGAAATTAGTCCAAATCATATGCTTTCAATCTGATAACATTTTTTTTTTTTTTTTGAGACGGAGTCTCGCTCTGTCGCCCAGGCTGCAGTGCAGTGGTGCGATCTCCGCTCACTGCAAGCTCCGCCTCCCGGGTTCATGCCATTCTCCTGCCTCAGCCTCCCGAGTAGCTGGGACTACAGGCACCCGTCACCACGCCTGGCTAATTTTTCGTATTTTTAGTAGAGACGGGGTTTCCCCGTGTTAGCCAGGATGGTCTCGATCTCCTGACCTCGTGATCCACCTGCCTCAGCCTCCCAAAGTGCTGGGATTACAGGTGTGAGCCACCACGCCCAGCCTCTGATAACATTCTTAAGATTTGATAACACTCACCACTCATGAGGATCATGAGCTTTTCGTAGAATATAACAAACTGACTAATTTCAAAGAAGCAGTGTAAATGAAGAAATTCTTAAGTGAATGCATAGTTTCCAAAATCTCACAAAAAATTATATCTGGGCTCAGATTTGCAATTGGAGGAATATATTTCATGTACCTGGCTTCCAAGATGAACATTTTTTTCCATATTTTAATATTTCTGAAATTACAACATACACATCTAGGGCATCACCTCTCCTTCCTCAAATACCTCTTAATTCAGCAATATCACAAAATAAAATAAATAAAATATATTGTGATTTTAAAGATATATAATATATACTAGATATCAAATTTATAACATGTGTAATGTATTATAAATATATTTGTATGTTTTATGCATTATATTAATAACACATAATGTAAACATATATTTAAATATATGTAAATGTAATACAGTAATATACAGGTAAGATAACACGTATTGTGTATAATTTGTAAATGGGTGAGACATTGCTTTTCAGCACCATTGAAGGTCTATACAACATGATACTTTAATAATCTCATAATAGTTTAATTAAAGAAACACAGTTGACAATGAGCTCTGTGGTTTGGATTTTCTATAACCAATCACATTCATATACTCGGAGTGGGTAATCAACTAGTTCACAACAGTAAATTCTCACCAATAATGTCTGAAGAGTTCACTTATTTAGCTTTCAGATCATTCTTATTATATATTTAACAGGTGACTCATTATTTTATGAAATTATTTTTGAAGCACACTACAAATGCAAAATAGAATTGTTAATAATAAAACAAGTTCTAAAATAAAAGCTTAAATACAGTTTTAACCATTCATGTTTCATAAGGCTTAAGAACAATTACAATAATTATTATAAATAGAATTTAGTATTAAAGTATTACATCTTTATACCCAATTATCTTTGTTTAAACCACTCTACTCATTTTCTAATGTATTTAAAGGCATGGTATGGGTATAAAAATGGACACAGAATAATAAAGCTACACATCTACAGCCAACTGATTTTCGACAGTCAACAAAAATAAACAATAAGGAAAGGACACCCTATTCAATAAATGGTGCTCGGAAAACTGGCTAGCAATATGCAGAAGAATGATACTGGACCCCTACCTTTCGCCATATAGAAAAATTAACTCAAGATGAATCAAAGGCTTAAATGTAAGACCTCAAACTATAAAAGTCCTAGAAGAAAACCTAGGAAAATCTCTTCTGAACATTGGCCTGAACAAAGAATTTATGAGTAACACCTCAAAGACAAACGCAAAGTAACCAAAAGTTGACAAATGGGACTTAAACTAAGGAGCTTCTGCACAGCAAAAGAAACAATCAGGAGAACAAGCAGACAACCTAGAGAATGGGAGAATACATTTGTAAACTCTGCATCTGACAAAGACTAATATTCAGAATCTATAAGGAACTTAAATAAATCAACAAGAAAGAAACAACCACTTTGAAAAGCGGGCAAAGGACATAAACAGACATCACACAAAAGAAGACATACAAGCGGCCAACAAACATATGAAAAAATGCTTAACATCACGAATCATCAGAGAAATGCAAATTAAAACCACATGAGATACCGTCTCATGCCACTCGGAATGGCCATTATAAAAATGTCAAGAAATAACAGATTTTGTGAGGATGCAGAAAAAAAGGGAATGCTTACACACTGTTGGTGGAAATGTAAATTAGTACAACCTCTATGAAAAACAGTTTGAAGATATCTCAAAGAAGTAAAAGTTGAACTATCATTTGATCCAGCAATTCCACTACTGGGTATCTAGAAAAAGAAAAAACATTGTTATATAAAAAAAACAACCACACTTGTATGTTCATCCCAGCAGTGTTCACAATAGCAAAATCATGGAATCAACCTAAGTGCCTATCAACAGTGGATTGGATAAAGAATATGTGGCACACATATACCATGGAATACTATTCAGCCATAAAAAGAATGAAATCATATCCTCTGCAGCAACACAGATGAAGCTGGAGGTCTTAATCCTAAGCAAATTAACACAGCAACAGGAAACCAAATACCACATGTTCTTACTTATAAATGGGGGTTAAAACATTGGGTACTCATTACTTCTGGCATAAAGACAGAAACAATAGACATTGGTAACTCCCAAAGAAAGGAGGGAAAGATGGGGGAAAGGGTTGCAAAATTACCTATTGGATAATGATAATATATTCACTATTTGGGTGATGGGTTCAATAGAAGCCCAAACCCCAGTATTACACAATATACCCATGTAACAAACTTTCACATGTACCCCCCGAATCCAAAAAAAATAAAAAATAGCAGTACATTAAGTAGTACATAATTTTTAAAACTGCATTGCATTATATTTTCATATTTCTAAAATATTTAGGTATATCTTATCTTTTAGTCTTTTCCATGTTTATGATTCAGTTCAACCAACACACACAAACATTCAATTGGTATATGTGTAGTTTGCTAAGTTATGAAATCTGAAGATGACTCACTGAATAAGTAAATGTAGTTGCTGAATATTACTGTCATGAGATTTATAGGGACTTCACCAAATACTATTTAAAATACCCCTTTTCTAATGAATTACTAAAGAATCACAACATATAATTAGGTTTACAGGCTTTCATCAGTGACTGGAGTATATATAAGATTTAATGGCGGCTATCATACTGAATTTGGGAATATGCTGTAATCATCTGAGATTTTCAAACATGAAATTTCATAAAATTCTATCAGTTGATGTATGTCATAAAACATATATATATTTCTGACGTGAAAAAAAACCAAAAAGGTTTAAAAAGAAACACTCAAAATTAAACAAGTAGTAAATATTTACATACTTTTAAAGTAATAGAATCATTGTTTTATTATAGCCATTTTAAAATCTTTAGAAAACAACTGTACACCTCCCACCCCAAGATATAGTAAGGATATTTTTGAATATTTGACTAGATTATTCCATAATTAGAACAGATTTTTCAGGAGGAAAAAACAAAGTATTATTGGGGAAACTTTAAAAATATTATCAGATAGCTCAATCCTAGTGAAGGTATAATATTCTACACAGGAGAGAGTAGAGCACAAAAGTTAAAAAATACAGGCTCTGATGATCATCTGCCATTGAACTCTAGACAGTTTATCAGACTTCCAGTTTCTTCATCTGTAATATCATGATAATAATTCAATATAATTAGCAGGACAGTTCTGAAAACTATGTATTAAAAAAAATACCGACTACATTGGAAGTGCCCAATAAATACCAGCCATGGTTTCTATTTTGATAATCTATTGCACACAGCTATATTCTAACACTGCTATTACTAACATTGCTTATCTTTCATCTCTAATGATGGTGATAATGGTGATGATAGGAAGTAGAAATATTGCATTTTCCAGAATTCTGGTTTATTATTATCAGAATCAATAGATGAAAGTTTCTGTAAATTTATTGTTCTTTTAAAGATACTAGTTTATGCCTGTAATCCCAGGACTTTGGGAGGCAGAGGTGGGCAGATCACGTGAGGTCAGGAGTTCAAGACCAACCTGGCCAACATGGTGAAACCCTGTCTCTACTAAAAATACAAAAAATTAGCTGGGTGTGGTGGTGGGCACTTGTAATCCCAGCTACTCGGGAGGCTGAGGGAAGAAAATCGCTTGAACCCGGGGGGCAGAGGTTGTAGTGAGCCGAGATCGCGCCATTGCACTCCAGTCTGGGCAACAAGAGTGAAACTCCATTTCAAAAAAAAAAAAAGAAAAGAAAAGAAAAAAATAAGATATTAGTTGGCTAATTTTAACTTCATGCACTTTTCTATTTTTTTTTCTGTTAATTACCTGGCCACTAAACACACCTTGAATAAACTGACCAAAAGACCAAGAGCAAAAATTAAAGTATCAAAGATCTACAGGAGACTTACATCCTGAAATAAAAGAATAGAATTAGAGTAACCAAGAGTTATTACTATTTCCTAGAATACGATTTATTACAGTATTCAAAATGTAAGAGCTGATACTGGTGGATTTATAAACATTGTGATCATCACTCTTATTATAGTCCTTGAGTTTCAATTTTCTATTATTTAGAGTTTTATGTTATGACAATATGATGATATCAAAATTTGATGTTATCCGAACATTACCTAGAAATCATGTTTTGTAATAGTTTTAAAGTAGCTTACTTATTTTGAACATAATAATAAAATAATTGAGAAAGAGACATAAGAATCCTTGCTTTTCAGAAATAGCAAGAGAATGTCTGGGATACAACTAGTCACCATATTTTCTAAGTGTGTAACAGTGGTCCACTTCTTATAACAATATAGCTCATGAGTATTCAAGAGACTTCAAAATGTGCAGCCAAAATCATGTGTTGTAGAATGGTCTTTCCCTGCCTTTGATGTACAAAGCAAATCAGCCTGAAATCATCAGAGAATTGCCATGACAGGGGTTGGACGTATCTCAGCATGATCAAAGCATTCCAAGCCAATGACATTTGAAAGGAAATTAAGGCTTTCTCCACTGAGATTTAGCCATCTTCTAAACAGAATAAACGTAAGAACACTGAGATGGATGGATATGTTAAGTACGGCTAGCATTCCTCCAAACCATCATGATGGTGCTTCATTTATTAAAAAGTAATGTTCACCATATCCATTTGCATGCTATGGAACTCTCCACACAAAAGCTTTTATTGCTATTTTTCATCCTTTTAATCTCCTCCAAAATGAGAAATTACCCACTGAAAATGGCATTTGTTTGTCATTGTAGATAAGGAATCATGCAAACTTAAAGACAGAGTGGTTGAGAATTAATCTTCTATTATGTCTGATGCAAAAAGTCTGATAACTAATGTAACTCTCTAGCAAGAACTCTTATAATGGGCTGGGCGCAGTGGCTCACGCCTGTAATCCCAGCACTTTGGGAGGCCGAGGTGGGCAGATCTCAAGGTCAGAAGTTTGAGACCAGCCTGGCCAACATAGTGAAACCCCATCTCTACTAAAAATACAAAATTTAGTCAGGTGTGCTGGCACATGCCTGTAGTTCCAGCTACTCAGGAGGCTGAGGCAGGAGAATCACTTGTACCTGGGAGGTGAAGGTTGCAGGGAGCCGAGACCGTGCCATTGCACTCCAGCCTGGGTGACAGAGTGAGACTCCGTCTCAAAGAGAAAAAAAAAAAGAAAGAAAGAAAGAAAAAGAACTCCTATAATGAAATGTAATGACTTAACATGTTTTAATGATTCAAATGACAGTTATTACTTACCTAGGACAATAACTGAAGTGCTAAAGTATATTGTTTTCCGTGACATGATCAGAGGTTAAAAGGACAGATTGAAAATTCAAAGCTTGCATTTGCTTTGCAAAGCACATCTTCAAGTGTTCTCTAATATTCTGAAAGACCATTCGTTCTGAGACAAACTGAGCATAGAAATATTCTCAGCATATTGATTGTTTTAGAAATGTTAAATAGTACAAGGAGTATTATATAAAATGGCCCTGAGAACTGCTTGCTTTTACATATTCAAAAATAATTTTGTAATGTAATAAGCTTGTTCTAATTTAGTTTTTCAGGTGGTCATTCACTGAAGGCAAGTAGACTTTGTATAAAGCAGATAGAGGAAAATTTGGTTTTGATACACTTAAGTACTCTGTCCCTTGGAATAGAGGTGAATATTATATATCATGTTTTTAGTATTTGTTAAGTATATTATTCAAGATTCACTATGAAAAATATTTTGGGCATTCAAAAAATGAAAAATATATGATTGCACCTAAATAAGATTTTATTCTGATGGGCACATAATTAGAGAGGCATAAGAAGAGAAAAATAGTGATCAGTACCAGAAATACGTGAGGCCTTTCCATGTAACAGGTGCTTCTATTAAGAAAAACAAATTTTGTAACATGGTAAAGGCTTTCAAGACCAGCATATGGCTGTATGAAATGTTGCTGGTATCATGGCTAACATTCCAAACTCCAGAGTCAGGCTTTTCGGATCCATATCTTGCCTTTGTCAATTCCTGTATAGGTTTAGACAATAGAGACAACAGTCCTTTAAGTCACAGAGCTGCTGTGAGGACCTAATGAGATGATGCATATGAATCCTGAAAAACAGATACATAAAATGAACAAGTCTAGAGATCAAATGCACAACTTGAGGACTGTAAGTAACACAATTGTACTGTATCTGGGATTCACACTAAATGGGTAGATTTTAGCTGTGCTATCCACAAAACAACAACAAAATAGATAACTATTTGAGATGATGGGTATGCTAATCTGCTTCAGCATAGTAATCATTTTACTATCTGCATATATTCCATAACATCATGTTGTGTACCTTAAGTACACACAGTAAAACTTATTTCTAAAAAACCTGATAAATATTAAGCCCCCCATAAACATTTACAATGAGCATTAACATTGTGATTTTTGCTACTGTTTATATTTTCATGTTGATAAAGTTTATTTGTATTTGCTATTTTTAACTTGGGCTTTGGTAGACAATATTTTCCAAAGAAATCTGAAGGTTTAACCATTTATATGTGATGAATCAAGTCGTGACAATGGTGCTGAAGCTGGTAAACAGAAATGTCTAGAGAATTGATCCAGGTTCGACCTTGAATTGCAAAAGTTTTGAAAAAACATGTTCTTAAGTAACTCAGTCCCTGAGTATAATATGACTATTTTCTGTCATTTATTTGTTTGTTTACAAAAGAGAAATAAGCTCAGAGAGGTTAATGACTGAGGCAAAGTCCCAATCCTAGAAAATGGCAGAATCAGGCCTAATAGGTACCTTGTGATTGCAGATACTTTATATTTCCTCATTCTCCCAACTCTCTCGCTTATGGTGTTCAAATATAGCACTTCTTTTACTATCCTTTCAGCAGCAGATCTTACTTGCACATTGCTTTGTTTGTCAGCTGTTAGTCTTTCAAACATTTTTCAGACATTTTATCAGATACTGTGTTTGCAATAAACATTCTTACTTTTTACAACTGACAGGGACATGTATGACATCTATAGTTAGATATCTGTCAAACTTTTGACTTTTCTTCTTAGTAAAGATATTTCTCAGGAGATTATCTATACATCCTAATATGTGGCTGGCTGTTTTAAAGGCTTGTTGAACATGTATTTGGAAAACTCACCCACTCTACATATCATATATCATAAACTACTTTTGTTACATTTCCTATCCTCTTACCTGTAAAAAAAAAACCTTGCCACTGTGTTTTTTATTTAAACTCAAGAATAGTCTGTTCAGAGGCAGATAACCCTCTTTAGATAGGAGGCAAACAAATCTAGATAGAAATTCCTTCCTGTGACGTTTGATGTCCTGAGAAAAATAGAAGTAATCATGTTGTGAGTACAGAAATGCACCTTAAAACAACACTTTGGTCAATGATGGACCTCACACATGATGATGGTCACCTAAGATTTTAATGGAGCTGAGAAATTCCCATTGCCTCATGACATGGTAGCCATCTTAACATCATAAGCATCATAAACGCCATGCATTACTCATGTGTTTATGATGATGCTGGTGTAAACAAGCCTACTGTGCTGCTAGTCATGTGAAAGTATAGTTTATATGATTATGTATAGTACATAATACTAGATAATAGATGACTTTGTTCCTAATTTATGTATTTACTATATTATACTTTTTATCATTATTTTTCCCATGTATTCCTTCTACTTATAAAAAAGTTAGCTGAAAAACAGCCTCAGGCAGGTCCTTCAGGCAGTATTCCAGAAGAAGGCACTGTTATAGGAGATGACAGCTCCATGCGTGTTATTGCCCCTGAAGACCTTCCAGTGGGACAAGATGTGGAGGTGGAACACAGTGTTAGGTATGAGCCTGACTCTGTGTGGGTTAAATTAATGTATGTATTTGCGTCTCATTTTTGCACAAAAATGTTTTAAAAAGGAAAAAGTTACAAATAGAAAAAAGCTGAAAGAATAAGAATATAATTTTTGTACAGCTCTAAAATGTGTTTGTGTTTTAAGCTAAGTGTTCCTACAAAGGAGTTAAAAGGTTTTTTAATAAATTAGTAAGTTTATAGAATATAAAGGTTACAGTAAGCTAAGCTTAATTTACTATTAAAGAAAGAAAATAGTTTTTTAAAAATTTAATGCAGCCTAACTCTACAGTGTTTGTAACATCTACGGTAGTGTACACTGATATCCTAGGCCTTCACATTCACTCACCACTCACTCACTGATTCATTCACCCAGAGCAACTCTCTGACCCGCAAGCTCAATTCATGGTAACTAATTATACATATACATATAGGTGGTACCATTTTAAAAATCTTTTATGCTGTAGTTTTGGCATACTTTTTCCATATTTAGATATGTTTAGATACACAAGTACTCACCATTATGTTATAATTGCCTACAGTACTGGTACACTAACATGCTGTACAGGCTTATAGTCAAGGAGCAATAGGCTATACCATATACCTACATGTGTAGTAGACTACGCCATCTCAGTTTCTGTAAGTACGTTCTATGATGTTTGCACAATGGCGGAATTGCCTAACGGTGCATTTCTTAGAATGTAAAACCCTTCAAAAAATCAATGAATCCAGGAGCTGGTTTTTTGAAAAGATCAACAAAATTGATACACCGCTAGCAAGACTAATAAAGAAGAAAAGAGAGAAGAATCAAATAGACGCAATAAAAAATGAGAAAGGGGATATCACCACCAATCCCACAGAAACACAAACTACCATCAAAGAATACTATAAACACCTCTACACAAATAAACTAGAAAATCTAGAAGAAATGGATAAATTCCTAGACACATACACCCTCCCAAGACTAAACCAGGAAGGAGTTGAATCCCTGAATAGACCAACAAGAGGCTCTGAAATTGAGGCAATAGTTAATAGCTTACCAACCAAAAAAAGGCCAGGACCAGACAGATTCACAGCCGAATTCTACCAGAGGTACAAAGAGGAGCTGGTACCATTCCTTCTGAAACTGTTCCAATCAATGGAAAAGGAGGGAATCCTCCCTAACTGATTTTATGAGGCTGGCTTCATCCTGATACCAAAGCCTGGCAGAGACACAACCAAAAAAGAGAATTTTAGACCAATATCCCTGATGAACATTGATGCAAAAATCCTCAATAAAATACTGGCAAACCGAATCCAGCAGCACATCAAAAAGCTTATCCACCACGATCAAGTTGGCTTCATCACTGGGATGCAAGGGTGGTTCAACATACGAAAATCAATAAATGTAATCCATCATATAAACAGAACCAAAGACA